>NC_000007.14:89779506-90082536 GCF_000001405.40 Homo sapiens | reverse complement strand
TTAAGGAAGAGGTTTAGAGGCAATTAGAAATCTAGTGGCAATTAGGTACTGAGATATTCTTTCTTTTGTACTCCTCTGACATGGATCTAGAACTTTGGTGGTATCTTTTTAACTAATTTATAGTTATTGCTTGGGATAAATTTTAAGTGCTGGATTTGTCTTTGGTTTGTTAAATTTCTAAGTACCATTATTGTCTCTTACTGGCATTAAACATCTCTCAGTACTTTATTTTTCTTTTTCAGAATAAGAGTCTTGCACTCATGCACTGTAAGAGAAGGCAGAGATTATTAGGCTAACACTTCCCCGAGGCCCAACATATTAGTATTCTTCCGCTGTCACTCAGGTTACCCACAAAAGAATTCCAATCACTCAACCTTTGTATTGTACTTGAACATAGCTCTTGAGAGTATTTCTTTTTTTTCCCCTCAAGTGAGTAGTATTTTTCACTTTCATTTTCATTGACACTATATCAATATAAAAAAATGATTTCCAAGTAGTTGTGCATAAGTTGAGGTTTCCAATTGATCTTTGCAGTTCCTTTCCTGCAAATTGAGGTTGAGGAGCAAACAAACAGAATGGTTGCATTACACTGAAGCAGAAGGCAAGTGGGGTTTTATAACCAGCGCTGTATTCTAATCGATTGATTTGAGACTGACACTGATAAAGGACAACATTCTGTAGGAAAGAGTGATGAGGTCACCAGCTATTACTCAGCAGTGTTTTTGTGCTTTACTGCTGTCTGTAAGCAATGATAAGGATTGAGGTGGCCTTCCCAACTAGGCCAGAGCATTTGTAGTGATTACTAGGCCTTGAACAAGCGTTATTATAGGTTGGCTATTCATCTTTTCCCAGAGCACTAAAATATACCTGGACAGCATCCTATGATTATTTTTTGTGAGGGATTTTCACATTAAAACAAAACCAATGAAAATAAAAGAAAAATTACCCAATGTGTGAGATTATCAAATGGAACTGTGATGTATTTTGTTTTTCTTTCTTAAATGGAGAGATCCAGTGTCAGAATTTGAAGATGGTATAATAGACTTTTATAGTTATGATTTGTATACAAATTAGTATTTTAATCTGTTTTGAGATAAGAGTTTTCTATTGTTAATTCAGTAGAAGGCCAATGGTAAAATGCCAAAAACTGATTAAATCTCATGATCTTGCAATACTAGCTAGGGTGGGCAGATGAATTCATTGACATTAGATCCCATTCCTCAGTACTTATAGGCATCTTTGCATTCAACATTGCCGTTTCTGCTATTTCTCCCCTTTCCTTGCTGTAATAATTTCCCTCCTTTCCTCCTTGGTTATTTGACATGCTCATTTCTCTTGGGAATGATGTTTCTTATTTCTCCTTAACAACTATAAATGTTACTATTTCTACCAGTGCTTTAAACTTCATATACTTTATATTTCAAGCAAGAAATCAGTGGCTACCTAATGTACATGTACTATGTTCCTATTATTGTACATGTTTTATATACTTCACATATATTAGTTAAAAAGTGGTAGAAGAGGCATTTTTCCTTATTCTTGATAGTGAAACTGAACAAAAATATTACATTTATCACAACTATGAATTTTTTGACAAATTATGAATTATATTGCTCCTGATTCTTAGTCCATGTTTATTTGCACTTACATAACTTCTAGGATACTGAGTTGGAAATGAATAAATAATAACTCTAGTGACTTATTGCTTGGGAAGAATGAAAAGTGTCATAGTAGTGCATGAAGGTACCACAGAGCCTCACAAATGGGAGGTACCAGGGAGCCTCAAATGGAAGCTGCCACTATAAATAGATGTAACTTAACAAGTTCAAAATCCCCATCCTGTCTTGTTAGCGTTAGAAAAATGTTAGTTCTGCAAAGAGGACATCACTGTCATAAAGGATACATTTGGAGCCCTGAATCTACAGAGAGGGAAAGCTATAGCACCATGCAGCCTACACAGCCTGGGCAGATATCAGTTACCTGCTGTCAGTTCCTTAAATTCCTCCTCCCTACTCAAAAGAATTCTGGTCTGACCTACTCAAACTCTTCCTCTCCTAGGCTGTCCAAAATGTGTTATATTGGACAGATTAATATCTGAGATTTTGTGATGCAAGATCAAAAAGAAAAGATAAACTAGAAATTGCTGGAAGGAGTTTGGTTTTGTTTTTGTTTTTGTTGTGAGGTGTGAGGAGGATTTGAGGGGTGTAGCTTGGGAGCGCAAACATAATGTCATAGCAGGGGTGAAAGAAGAAAACGGTGATAAAAAATGTTACTAGGACCATTTTTCGTTTTCACCATGTTTGAGAAATAAAAATAGGCATTTTATTTTAGTTTGAAGTCACTTTTGGTAACATGATCTGTGTTCTGTAAAGACGACCCCAGTGTTATACTGAAGCATGAATTGTGTTATGCTTACAAAGGCATGGATATTCAAGACGAGAAAACCTGGACTAGAGTGTTACATACATGGCTTGAACCATAATGGTTAATCTTTTTTGCCAAGTTAGAGAGGAGAAACTTGAAGCCGGTATTGGTCATTTAATGTGTGCCTGCTGTAGGCTACCTAAGACTGTGTTAGGCAATTAAAAGGACAGGGCTGGTGATCCTATCAATAACCTGTAAAACAACAGAAAATTGTTTGCTTCAACAGCACAAATCTTAAAAAATTAATTGCAACTGTAAAATGCTCAGTATAAAAAACCTAATCAATGTCAAAAGTGAAAAGTGAAGGTCATCTTTGCTCTCACTCTCACTTTTTAGGGTGTCATTACACAGTTAACTGTTTTGTGTGCAGAACAAAATATATGGCATAATTCTATTTCTGTATGTAAAATCCCCAAACCTATGCTTATTTGTACCATGTAGGCAAAGTGCTTCTAAAGGAGTCTTTCATTCATATGTGTGTGTATGTATATGTGTGTGTGTGTATATATATACTCATATATATACTCATATATGTATAATTCACATATGTATATATAAAATTCATACTCACACACACATAAACACACACACACATATATATGTGTGTGTATATATATAGATATATGAAATCCATTTGTATTTGAAATGGTTTTCAATTTTGGAAGATCTATGTGGAATTTTAAATAGTTTTACTTGGGTTCTCCTTCCTAAAATTTAAAGATAATTTTTTCATATATGTATTGGTGAAAGTCCAGTCAGGAAAACAGGAAGCACACTAGGTATTTCAACAATGGGAACATAATCTTAAATAAGGCTGAAAGAACAAAACCGGAAAGCCCAGCAAGAACAGCAAGGAGTAGCTACCATCTCCAGGGCCAGAAGCACACAAGGAAGAGGTTAGGGATTTTACAATTTAGAAGAGTACAGACTCTGTAAGTTGGGGCTCAGATTACTTGAGAGCAGTCACGCCCTGGCTACTATGAATCTTTCAGAGAAGAGGGCAATGAAACTAGTTCTAAGAATGCAAATGGGTGCTGTTGGAGTGCAGAGCTAGCATTCTGCAAGGAAGACAGGAACAGGAAGTAAGAATTCTTTCCTCCCCTTCCCTGCCTCCCAGGGTTTTTCCTGTGCCTCCTCCTGGCCGCTCCTAGCAAAAGGCCATCTGACAGAGGACAAAAGTAGTTTTCAGAGTCTTAGCCTCAAGATCATAAGAGTAGGAATTTAGAGTTTTTGGCTTTCGTTTCTCGCTTAGAGCTAGAAGAAGTCTTTATAAGTTAACAATTTGGAAGAAAGTAGATAGTAAGTAGGCTGAAAAACCAATTTATTTGGGATATACCTTTTATTAGTTGTACCAAAATTATCCCTTTTCCTGGAAATAATGGATCTAGTGTCTTCCAAGTATTAATTTGATTGTGATAGTGTTTCTACCTCTTAAATTTAGCTTGTATTTCAATGACTTGAAATACATTGATTTATATTGTCAATTATATTGCCAAAATCTAGAAATTTTTTTAACACATTATATACAATAAATAATTACCACAGTAATATATAGTAGGATTTGTGTTCTCATAAGAGAGAATGAGGACCTCAGAATCCCCTTTCTATTATTGCCATTTAGTGATACACCAACAAAAGTCGGCTCAGGGTTTCCCTAGGTGGCTAAATCACACTCTGATGGCCTTACCTCAACATTCTTATGATATATAATGAGTATAACATTAATTTTATCTATATATTTATATCAGTAGTAACTTTAAGTGGAAGAGATCTCAGAGGAGCAAAAAAGTATATGCATGAAATTTTCCTTGATAGTAATAGATAAGAATCTTAATACTTTTTTAGCCACCCCCTTTCCATATGCTGCTTGCTAAGCCATCAGCTTTTTGGTGAAATCATTATATGTGTGTATGTGGGGATAGGGAGTATGAGCAGGAAAAGGATCCTAGAAGATTGTTGGCAGTCTTGATGACTGTATTATTCTGCTCTGGTTGCCATGACAAAATACCATAGATTGGGTGGCTTAAACAACAAATTATTGTTATTACATTTCTGGAGGCTGGAAGTCCAAGATTAGGGTGACAGCATGATCAGTTTCTGGTGAAGGCTGTCTTCCTGGCTTGCAGATGGCCACCTCCTCACTGTCTGCACATGTCCTATCCTCTGTGTGCAGAAAGAGAGAGAGAGGGAGGGAGGAAGGCAGGGAGGGAGGGAGAGAGAGAGAGAGAGAGAGAGAGAGAGAGAGAGAGAGAGCGAGAGCGAGCACACGAGCATTCTCTAGTGTCTCTACTTAATAAGGACATTAATCGTATTGAATCAAGGCCCCAATCTCATTATCTCATTTAACCTTAATTAGTTCCTTAGAGGCCCCATTTTCAAGTACAGCCACACTGACAGTCAGGGCTTCAACATATGAATTTTGAGGGGCACAAACATTGAGTCCATATTATTGCTGAATTCTGATTCTTTGATATTCTCAGCACAAGTATTATAACTCAGGTACTTCATTTTAAAGGTCAAGAGAAACACTTAAAAGTATCTTGAAAGCTGATGATGAAAGCTGTATCTTCTGCAGTTAATTTCTGTTCTGATTATTGCAATGCCTGCTTCTGATTTTTCTCTAGTATAGTCTAATTTTACTTTTGATTCTTATTACAGAATTTATGTGAAACTGAAAGTAAATCCACCTTTAGCTATATAATAATCTCTTAGTTTGTGGTGTAATTATACACAAAACACTTCTAGTTTAGTATTTAAAAATTTATTGCTAGTTTTATTAAATACTAGTTTTCCCTCTAATCAAGTCTCCGGTGGACAACTCGTTTTTGCATGGAGTCTGGAGGAATATTACATGTCTATGGATATTTAAAAAATATATAACTTCATGGTTTAGAATCACAGGACCATGCCTAGTTTGGTTTGAAAAAGTAGCTCAGCCCCACTCCAGGGATGAGAAAGGCTACGTATAGATATTTTTTATCTGTCCACCATACTTGAGTGAAGAAATTGTGAGTGAACATAAAATTATATTCTGAACCTTATTTGAACATTCTTTTGATACTTAGTCTTTTTTTTTTTTTTATTATACTTTAAGTTCTAGGGCACATTTGCACAATGTGCAGGTTTGTTACATATGTATACATGTGCCATGTTGGTGTGCTGTACCCATTAACTCATCATTTACATTAGGTATTTCTCCTAATGCTATCCCTCTCCCCTCCCCCTACCTCACTTCAGGCCCACCCTGTGTCCAAATGTTCTCATTGTTCAATTTCCACCTATGAGTGAGAACATTTGGTGTTTGGTTTTCTGTCCTTGTGATAGTTTGCTGAGAATTATGGTTTCCAGCTTCATCCATGTCCCTGCAAAGGACATGAGCTCATCCTTTTTTATGGCTGCATAGTATTCCATGGTGTATATACGCCACATTTTCTTAATCCAGTCTATCACTGATGGACATTTGGGTTGGTTCTGAGTCTTTGCTATTGGGAATAGTGCTGCAATAAACATACGTGTGCATGTGTTTTTATAGCAGCATGATTTATAATCCTTTGAGTATATACCCAGTAATGGGATCACTGGGTCAAATGGTATTTATTTCTAGTTCTAGATCCTTGACGAATCACCACACTGTCTTCCACAATGGTTGAACTAGTTTACAGTCCCACCAACAGTGTAAAAGTGTTCCTATTTCTCCACATCCTCTCCAGCACCTGTTGTTTCCTGACTTTCTAAGGATTGCCATTCTAACTGGTGTGAGATGGTATCCCACTGTGGTTTTGATTTGCATTTTGCTGATGGCCAGTGATGATGAGCATTTTTTCATGTGTCTGTTGGCTGCATAAATGTCTTCTTCTGAGAAGTGTCTGTTCATATCCTTCGCCCACTTTTTGATGGGGTTGTTTGAATTTTTTCCTGTAAATTTGTTTAAGTTATTTGCAGATCCTGGATATTAGCTCTTTGTCAGATGAGTAGATTGCAACAATTTTCTCCCATTCTGTAGGTTGCCTGTTCACTCTGATGGTAGTTTCTTTCGCTGTGCAGAAGCTCTTTAGTTTAATTAGATCCCATTAGTCTATTTTGGCTTTTGTTGCCATGCTTTTGGTGTTTTAGTCATGAAGTCATTGCCCATGCCTATGTCCTGAATGGTATTGCCTAGGTTTTCTTCTAGGGTTTTTATGGTTTTAGGATTAACATTTAAGTCTTTAATCCATCTTGAATTAATTTTTGAATAAGGTGTAAGGAAGGATCCAGTTTCTACTTTCTACATATGGCTAGCCAGTTTTCCCAGCACCATTTATTAAATAGGAAATCCTTTCTTTATTTCTTGTTTTTGTCAGGTTTGTCAAAGATCAGATGATTGTAGATGTATGGTATTATTTCTGAGAGCTCCGTTCTGTTCCATTGGTCTATATCTCTGTTTGGGTACCAGTACAATGCTGTTTTGGTTACTGTAGCCTTGTAGTATAGTCTGAAGTCAGGTAGCGTGATACCTCCAGCTTTGTTCTTTTTGCTTAGGATTGTCTTGGCAATGTAGGCTCTTTTTTGATTCCATATGAACTTTAGTTTTTTCCAATTCTGTGAAGAAAGTCATTGGTAGCTTGGTGGGGATGGCATTAAATCTATAAATTACCTTGGGCAGTATGGCCATTTTCACGATATTGATTCTTCCTACCCATGAGCATGGAATGTTCTTCCATTTGTTTGTATCCTCTTTTATTTCACTGAGCAGTGGTTTGTAGTTCTCCTTGAAGAGGTCCTTCATGTCCCTTGTAAGTTGGATTCCTAGGTATTTTATTCTCTTTGAAGCAATTGTGAATGGGAGTTCACTCATGATTTGGCTCTCTGTTTGTCTATTATTGGTGTATAGGAATGCTTGTGATTTTTTTTTTTTTTTATTATACTCTAAGTTTTAGGGTACATGTGCACATTGTGCAGGTTAGTTACATATGTATACATGTGCCATGCTGGTGCGCTGCACCCACTAACGTGTCATCTAGCATTAGGTATATCTCCCAATGCTATCCCTCCCCCCTCCCCCGACCCCACCACAGTCCCCAGAGTGTGATATTCCCCTTCCTGTGTCCAAGTGATCTCATTGTTCAATTCCCACCTATGAGTGAGAATATGCGGTGTTTGGTTTTTTGTTCTTGCGATAGTTTACTGAGAATGATGGTTTCCAATTTCATCCATGTCCCTACAAAGGACATGAACTCATCATTTTTTATGGCTGCATAGTATTCCATGGTGTATATGTGCCACATTTTCTTAATCCAGTCTATCATTGTTGGACATTTGGGTTGGTTCCAAGTCTTTGCTATTGTGAATAGTGCCGCAATAAACATACGTGTGCATGTGTCTTTATAGCAGCATGATTTATAGTCCTTTGGGTATATACCCAGTAATGGGATGGCTGGGTCAAATGGTATTTCTAGTTCTAGATCCCTGAGGAATCGCCACACTGACTTCCACAATGGTTGAACTAGTTTACAGTCCCACCAACAGTGTAAAAGTGTTCCTATTTCTCCACATCCTCTCCAGCACCTGTTGTTTCCTGACTTTTTAATGATTGCCATTCTAACTGGTGTGAGATGATATCTCATAGTGGTTTTGATTTGCATTTCTCTGATGGCCAGTGATGATGAGCATTTCTTCATGTGTTTTTTGGCTGCATAAATGTCTTCTTTTGAGAAGTGTCTGTTCATGTCCTTCGCCCACTTTTTGATGGGGTTGTTTGTTTTTTTCTTGTAAATTTGTTTGAGTTCATTGTAGATTCTGGATATTAGCCCTTTGTCAGATGAGTAGGTTAATGCTTGTGATTTTTACACATTGATTTTGTATCCTGAGACTTTGCTGAAGCTGCTTATCAGATTAAGGAGATTTTGGGCTGAGATGATGGGGTTTTCTAAATATATAAATAATCATGTCATCTGCAAACAGGGACAATTTGATTTCCTCTTTTCCTAACTGAATACTCTTTATTTCTTTCTCCTGCCTGATTGCCCTGGCCAGAACTTCCAACACTATGTTGAATAGGAGTGATGAGAGACGGCATCCCTGTCTTGTGCCAGTTTTCAAAGGGAATGCTTCCAGTTTTTGCCCACACATTATGATATTGGCTGTGGGTTTGTCATAAATAGCTGTTATTATTTTGAGATACGTCCCATGAATACCTAATTTATTGAGACTTTTTAGCATGAAGGGCTGTTGAATTTTGTCAAAGGCTTTTTTTTTTTGTATCTATTGAGATAATCACGTGGTTTTTTTCCTTTGGTTCTGTTTATATGGTGAATTATGTTTATTGATTTGGGTATGTAGAACCAGCCTTGCATCCCAGGGATGAAGCCAACTTTATCATGGTGGATAAGCTTTTTATTGTGCTGCTGGATTAGTTTGGCTAGTATTTTATTGAGGATTTTTGCATCAATGTTCATCAGGGATATTGGTCTAAAATTCTCTTTTTTTGTTGTGTCTCTGCCAGGCTTTGGTATCAGGATGATGCTGGCCTCATAAAATGAGTTAGGGAGGATTCCCTCGTTTTCTATTGATTGGAATAGTTTCAGAAGGAATGGTACCAGCTCCTCTTCGTACCTCTGGTACAATTCGGCTGTGAATCTGTCTGGTCCTGGACTTTTTTTTTGCTTGGTAGGCTATTAATTATTGCCTCAATTTCAGAGCCTGTTATTGGTCTATTCAGGGATTCAACTGCTTCCTGGTTTAGTCTTGGGAGGGTGTATGTGTCCAGGAATTTATTCGTTTCTTCTAGATTTTCTATTTTATTTGCGTAAGGTGTTTCTAGTATTCTCCGATGGTGGTTTGTATTTCTGTGGGATCGGTGGTGATATCTCCTTTATCATTTTTTATTGCATCTATTTGATTCTTCCCTCTTTTCTTCTTTATTAGTCTTGCTAGCGGTCTATCAGTTTGCTGATCTTTTCAAAAAATCAGCTCCTGGATTCATTGATTTTTTGAAGGGTTTTTTGTGTCTCTATCTCCTTCAGTTCTGTTCTGATCTTAGTTATTTCTTGCTTTCTGCTAGCTTTTGAATGTGTTTGCTTTTGCTTCTCTAGTTCTTTTAATTGTGATGTTAGGGTGTCAATTTTAGATCTTTCCTGCTCTCTCTTGTAGGCATTTAGTGCTATAAATTTCCCGCTACACACTGCTTTAAATGTGTCCCAGAGATTCTGGTATGTTGTGTCTTTGTTCTCATTGGTTTCAAAGAACATCTTTATTTCTGCCTTCATTTTGTTATTTACCCAGTAGTCATTCAGGAACAGGTTGTTCAGTTTCCATGTAGTTGAGCGGTTTTGAGTGAGTTTCTTAATCCTGAGTTCTAATTTGATTGCATTGTGGTCTGAGAGACAGTTTGTTATAATTTCTGTTCTTTTACATTTGCTGAGGAGTGCTTTCCTTCCAACTATGTGGTCAATTTTGGGATAAGTGCGATGTGGTGCTGAGAAGAATGTATATTCCATGGATTTGGGGTGGAGAGTTCTGTAGAAGTCTATTAGGTCTGCTTGGTGCAGAGCTGAGTTCAATTCCTGGATATCCTTGTTAACTTTCTGTCTCATTGATCTTTCTAATGTTGACAATGAGGTGTCAAAGTCTCTCATTATTATTGTGTGGGAATCTAAGTCTCTTCGTAGGTCTCTGAGGACCTGTTTTGTGAATCTGGGTGCTCCTGTATTGGGAGCCTATGTATTTAGGATAGTTAGCTCTTCTTGTTGAAATCATCCCTTTACCATTACGTGATGGTCTTCTTTGTCTCTTTTGATATTTGTTGGTTTAAAGTCTGTTTTATTAGAGACTAGGATTGCAACCCCTGCCTTTTTTTGCTTCCTATTTGCTTGGTAGATCTTCCTCCATCACTTTATTTTGAGCCTATGTGTGTCTCTGCACGTGAGATGGGTCTCCTGAATATAGCACGCTGATGGGTCTTGACTCTTTATCCAATTTGCCAATCTGTGTCTTTTCATTGGGGCTTTTAGCCCATTTACATTTAAGGTTAATATTGTTATGTGTGAATTTGATCCTGTCATTATGATGTTAGCTGGTTATTTTGCTCATTAGTTGATGCAGTTTCTTCCTAGCCTTGATGGTCTTTACAATTTGGCATGTTTTTGCAGTGGCTGGTATAGGTTGTTCCTTTCCATATTTAGTGCTTCTTTCAGGAGCTCTTGTAAGGCAGGCCTGGTGGTGACAACATCTCTCAGCATTTGCTTATCTGTAAAGGATTTTATTTCTCCTTTAATTATGAAGCTTACTTTGGCTGGATATGACATTCTGGGTTGAAAATTCTTTTCTTTAAGAATGTTGAATATTGGCCCCCACTCTCTTCTGGCTTGTAGAGTTTCTGCCGAGAGATCAGCTGTTAGTCTGATGGGCTTCCCTTTGTGGGTAACCTGACCTTTCTCTCTGGCTGCCCTTAACATTTTTTCCTTCATTTCAACCTTGGTGAATCTGACAGTTATGTGTCTTGGGGTTGCTCTTCTCGGGAAGTATCTTTGTGGTGTTCTCTGTATTTCCTGAATTTGAATGTTGGCCTGCCTTGCTAGGTTGGGGAAGTTCTCCTGGATGATATCCTGCAGAGTGTTTTCCAGCTTGGTTCCATTCTCCCTGTCAGTTTCAGGTACACCAATCAGATCTAGATTTGGTCTTTTCACATAGTCCCATATTTCTTGGAGGCTTTGTTCCTTTCTTTTTACTCTTTTTTCTCTAAACTTCTCTTGTCACTTCATTTCATTAATTTGATCTTTAATCACTGATACCCTTTCTTCCACTTGATGGAATCGGCTGTTAAAGCTTGTGCATGTGTCACGTATTTCTCGTTCCATGGTTTTCAACTCCATCAGGTCATTTAAGGTCTTCTCTATGCTGTTTATTCTAGTTAGCCATTCGTCTAATCTTTTTTCAAGGTTTTTAGCTTCTTTTCGATGGTTTCGAACTCCTCCTTTAGCTCGGAGAAGTTTGTTATTACTGTTCTTTTGAAGCCTACACTGTCAACTTGTCAAAGTCATTCTCCATCCAGCTTTGTTCCATTGCTGGCGAGGAGCTGTGTTCCTTTGGAGGAGAAGAGGCATTCTGATTTTTAGAGTTTTCAGCTTTTCTGCTTTGGTTTCTCCCCATCTTTGTGGTTTTATCTACCTTTGGTCTTTGATGATGGTGACCTACACATGGGGTTTTGGCATGGATGTCCTTTTTGTTGATATTGATGCTGTTCCTTTTCGTTTGTTAGTTTTGCTTCTAACAGTCACGTCCCTAACAAACTCCCTGCAGGTCTGCTGGAGTTTGCTGGAGGTCCACTCCAGACCCTGTTTGCCTGGGTATCACCAGTGGAGGTTGCAGAACAGCAAATGTTGCTGACTGATCCTTCCTCTGGAAGCTTCGTCTCAGAGGGGCACCCGGCTGTATGAAGTGTCAGTTGGCCCCTACTGGGAGGCGTCTCCCAGTTAGGCTACCCGGGGGTTGGGGACCCACTTGAGGCAGTCTGTCCATTCTCAGATCTCAAACTCCTTGCTGGGAGAGCCACTACTCTCTTCAAAGCTGTCAGACCTGGACGTTTAAGTCTGCAGAAGTTTCTGCTGCCTTTTGTTGCGCTAATGCCCTGCCCCCAGAGGTGGAGTCTACAAAGGCAGGCAGGCCTCCTTGAGCTTCAGTGGGCTCCACCCAGTTCGAGCTTCCTGGCTGCTTTGTTTACCTAGTCAAGCCTCAGCAATGATGGATGCCCCTCCCCTAGCCTCACTCCTGCCTTGCAGTTGAATATTGGACTGCTGTGCTAGCAGTGAGCAAGGCTCCATGGGCATGGGTACTTGGTCTATTTTTTTTTAAAAGAAATTCCAATTGCTTGCTGTATTCTTACTCGTGAGCCTTATAAGCATGCCCAGAGGTTATTTAACACAATTCAAAATGAACTATAATTTAAATAAGTGCAATAACATACCTCATTTTTTAATTTCCAATTGAGAAGAGCAAATTGATCACTGGAGAATACATTAAGGAAATAATCTATTAGAACCAAAGAACCCCCAAATTTCATATTTTTAATTGAATAGTATCCTATTATTCTTCTAAGAAAAGGAGAATTTACTGAAATTTCAGTTGAGTTGAATGTCACTACTTCCCAACTCCAAATTTTTCAAATCTACTGAAAGAGGATATTGAAACAGCAAATTTCAGTTTTCAAAGTTAGTAATTCTTTTGCAAATTAAAGTGATATTTAATAAAATTTGGTGAAATAAAATGTATAAAATATATTATGTTCAGAGTCTATGCTAGGCACTGAAGATTAAACAAGGATGAATAAAATGATAAACACATGTATTTGTGAACCAAAAATAAAATTCTAAGCACCCCGCAGCTGACCGATGGACCATTTCCTCAGCCAAGGGCATTCCAAAGTTAACCTGAAAAACTAGTTCAGAGCATGGTGGGAAGCAGGGGTTGGACATACTTTATTATATTGCCCTCCATTTGCAATTCAGGCACAGCTTACCAGGATTAACATTCAAACAGAGATCTCAAGACTGACAAAACAGCAATAAGACACCAAATAATTCCAGCCTGACTCTAGTATAGCATCACACAATGGATAGCAGGCCCTGAAAGAAATCAAAGTATTTTACCCCAAAATATATTTCTTTGACATATTTTATAATGGTCCTGCAAAGCTGTCTCTGTGGGGAAAATCTACTTTCTTTAGAGAATCTTCCTTCCTTTCCAAGTTTTCTCCCTGATCCAGGAAAGAATTAACTAAGAGTCTGACATCTTTTTAGGTGTGATAAGAGATTTGAAGTCTGCTTCCTGGAGGTTTCATCTGAATGATGAAACCTTGGTCTCCACAACACCTTATCTTAACCCAGATGTTCCTTTCTATTGATTTCAGGTGTTTAGGTAATAACTTTTAACTAATTGCCAATCAGAAAATCTTTGAATCTTCCTATGACCTGGAAGCTCCCTGCAGCCTCCCTCTGCTTCGAGTTGTCCTACCTTTCTGGACTGAACCAATGTACATCTTACATGTATTGATTGGTGTCGTATGTTTCCCTAAAATGTGTAAAATCAAGCTGTCATCCAACCACCCTGGGCACATATTATCAGGACCTCCTGAGGCTGTGTCACCAGCATGTCCTTAACCTTGACAAAATAAACCTCTAAATTGATTGAGACTTGTCTTAGATACCTTGTGGTTTATAAAGTATAGACATAGCTATAAATACTATATTGCAATATTGTGGGACTGCTAAGATAATAGAAGAATATGTTTAGTAAAGAATAGAGGTGATAAAGTGAAGGGAATGATGAAGCAAGATTATTTGGGGGTGGAAAGTCCAGAGAGAGGCTTGAGGATGGGATATGAGGCTTGAGCTATGGAGTCTTAGATATTATCTTTGGCAAGAAGCACCTATTTCCTTCTCTTCAGTGTCCCTACACCTTGGAGTTGGAAGGCTAATAACTGTAATGAGAGACTGTGGTGCAAAATTTGCAAGGCAGGAGGGAGGTAGAGTTCATTTTTCCTTTAGTAGTGATAGCAGTTGAGATATATGATACAGCAAATATATATATATATTTATATATATACGTATACTGTATACTATATATATATATATATATATATATATATATATATATATATATACAGTAAACACATATATATATATGGCAATGCACAGACTCCTTTTTTCACTGCCAGCCTTGGCTGTGGGATAACTCTGACATAGGTAGCCATGTGACCTGAAAACTTTTTGGTGGCCCCGGACCTGTGCTCCTCTAGTCCTTTCAACAGTTTTGTTGGCACTTCATGCCTCGTATTAAATGCCTTTCTGTCTGGCATATCCAGCTGACTTTTATTTCTTACATTGAACCTTGACTGGCACAAAGGGTTTGGAAGATGAATAGGAGTTCAGCAAGTGAACAAAGGAAGAAAGACACATTCTATAATACCTAAAGCAAACAGAATGAGCAAATTGATGGGGGCCATGAAACACCAGGATATATTAAAATGAATTAAAGTAGGTCATCATTGCTGGAGTGTAAGAAGGTGAGAAGATAGAAAATGAGTTTGCCAAGTTAAAAAGAAAAGATTATGATATGAAGTAAAGTATGGCTTTTCTGAAGAGAAAACCCAGGTAAGCATGTAGACTAAGAGCAATCACCATAAATTCTACTCAGGTTTAGATCTTTGAATTGAATTATTATTTTTTTTTTTTGTGGAAAATGTTCTTAGAACCATGCAGGTTAGTTTTCCAATAGTTTTCCATTTTAGAAAGAATTAAGGCTTCAGAAAAATTATTGTTCATGCCCAGAGTACATTTCCTTTTTTTTCTTATCCAAAAGAATCTTCAGTAATGCATATTTTAGATTTTTTGGAATGGTATGTAAAGAGAGAAAGGAGGGAAACTGATCTGTGTAGTTGGGGGATATTTTGTCTTCCCTTGACATTTGCATCAATTTAAAAGAAAATTTCTTTAAAGCATAAATTTATCTGAAACTCCTCTTCTTATAAATTATTGTAGCACAAGGTAAGACGAAGCAAGATAATAGCAAAAAAAAAAAAAAAAAAAGAGGGGACACTTGCTTAGGACACATTTGACAGTAACAGGGATTGGCATGATTAGTCCCAGGTATAGGAAGCTGCTGCCAAACTGTTGAACAAACCGTTGGGGTCATTTCCTTTGCTTACTCTACAACTTCTCTCCACTGTGTTTTCACACAGTACTCTCTTGGAAATGAGCCTCTGACTTTTCCGTAGCCCAAGGGAAGCTGAACAAACAACACAGATCGCTAGGACCTCTACTGTTTGCAAAAACAACAACAACAAAACGTGTGAAAACTATGTATGTCTTTAAAAAGGCAAACAGAAACAAAGAAACACTATTCCTTTTTTAAGGAGTCATACTAATGTGATTCAAACTTTTAAAAAGAACGTAGTAGGAACTGGTTTATGTTTGGCCAGGTCTCTTTTGCACCTTTGCCAAGATGATCCTTTAAAAAAGGAGAATATTCTCTTTCTGTAGACAAGACTTATCTGACTTTTTGCAGGGAAGCAGAGTTATTTGCTCATGGATATTTGTTTATAAATGTACAATTCTACATATAAACTAAAGTGTAATGCAGATGTGTTTTCTAGATATTATTAAATAATTAATTAGCTGTCAATTACAGACCTGAAAGGATCATTCTAAAGAATGAATGTATTCATATTTTGGAGTGAAAACACATATTTTCTAAATTATAAACTTAAGCGTAAGGAAATATTCAAAAATAGTTATTGTATAGTGAGGTTCTGTTCTCAATTTTTAACCCCTTTTAAATAAGGTTGCAGTGCTTCTTAGCCATATTATCCCCTCTTATCATCTAGATTTCTCAGTCACTGTTTGTAGAACATGTCCATCTCTGATAGGATGGTTATTTATCAGAGCTTTATATCAAGAAAAAAGTTCTAGTCTCATTCACAAAGTTGAAGAAGGCTCTGTAATCAATGTAACATTATTTGCCCTATTCTTGCTGACAATAGCACAAATCTAATGCATTTTTTTGAGGGGACTGGAGGATTTGTCACTTTTATGATGCTTCTTGAGAAATGTCAATTTTCAGGGGAATGATTTCCTTTTAGTTTAGAGTTCACTGGAAATATATCTTGCCCCTCTCTGTTCTATGACCTCTCAGATCTTTGAAGTCCCTGTATCACTCTCTCATTATCTACAGTGGTGAGAGAGATGTTTTAGTACCTGGATTTTTGAAAAGAAGAGAAAAACTTTGAAGGTGAGATGACCTTCCTCAAATACATCTTTCTCCCTCCATAGTGCCAAAGCCATGGACTTTATAATGCATATGTCAGGTTATCAGTAAGTTCTGAACTATAGCAACTTGGAGGGTTGCTGTTTAACCATTTCATGGTTACTTCTGTGCAGGCTATACTCCTTTGGGCAGACAATTCACTATTCCCAAATCATTGCACTTTACTTCTTCCCTGCTTAGTCATACAGTTCCTTCTGCATCAAATGCCTTTCGACCTCATTTCTCACTGTTACACTGCTACCCATCCTTCGAAATGAAGTTAAAAGGATGCTTCCAACATAAGGCCTTTTCTAACAGCTCTATAGACTTAAGTGATCCCATCCTTCCTTGCAACCCAGATTCCTTAATTTTATTATGTGGCTGATTTCTTAAGCTATAATTTTTGGTTCTTTGCCTTATCACCTCATTATTTTATATAACTGTATCTTATCTCCAAAAGACATTTGAAGGAGGGTTTCTCCCTTGTTAGAAGTAAGTTCCTCTGAGAACAAGATTATTTTATATGATTGTGTTAGTTATTATAACAGATAAATCCCAAAATTAAAATACAGTCATGTATTGCTTAACAATGGGGATATATTCTGAAAAATGGCTTGTTAGGTGATTTTATTGTTGTACAAACATTATAGAATATACTAATACAAAAATAGATGGTACCCAAACCTACTATATACCTAGGCTACATGGTATAGCCTGTTGATCCTAGGCTACAAACTTGCACAGCATGTTTCTATGTGGAACACTATATGTAACTGTAACATAATGGTAAGTATTTGTGTTATCTAAACATAATATAGAAAAGTCATGGTAAAAACACACTATAAAAGATAAAAAATGGTACACCTGTACAGAGTACTTATTATGAATGGAGCTTGCAGGACTGGAAGTTGCTCTAGGTGAGTCAGTGAGTGGTGAATGAATGTGAAGGCCTAGGATATTACTGTATACTGCTATAGACTTTATAAATGCTGTACATGTAGGCTATACTACATTTATAAATTCTTTTCAATAATAAATTAATTTTAGCTTACTGTCTTATTTTATAAATTTTAAACTCTTCTCTAACTTTTTGATTCTTTTGTAGTAACTTAGTTAAAACACACACATTATACAAAAATATTTTCTTCATATCCTTATTCTATTTTTTAAAGTTTTAAAACTTTCTAAACTTTTTTCTGCCAAAAATGACACAAACACATACATTAGCCTAAGACTCAAAGTGTCAGGATCATCAATATCACTGTTTTTTACCTCCATGTCTTGTCCCACTGGAAGGTTTTCAGGGGCAATAACATACATGGAGCTGTCATCTCCTGTGATAACAATGCCTTCTTCTGGAATACCTCCTGACCTGCCTGAGCCTGTTTATAGTTAACTTTTTTTAAGAAGTAGAAGTATACTCTAAAATAATGATTAAAAGTATAGTATAGTAAATACATAAACCAGTAACAGTCATTTGTTATCATTTTCAAGTATTATGTACTGTACATAATTGTATGTGCTATATTTCTATATGACTGGCAGTGCAGTAGGTTTGTTTACACCAGCATTGCTACAAATGTGAGTAATGCATTGCACTACAATGTTATGACAGCTACAATATCACTAGGTAATAGAAATTTTTTGGCTCCATTATAATCTTACAGGATAACCCTTGTATATGCTGTCTGTTGTTGACTGAAATGTTATTATGCAGCACATGACTGTAGTTTAACACAACTTAAGCTTATTCTCACTCTCAAAGCACTTTCATGTGGTTTCTGGCTGTCTTCTGTGTGGTGATGCAGAAACTCAGGGTCTTTCTATCTTGGGGCATTGCCGTCTTCAAAACGTGAATTCCAAGGATGCCATATAAGGGAAAGAGAACAAAGAGACCATATTTGCTTCTTAACCATGTTGACTCAGAAGGAATCATATCTCTTCTTCTTACTTCCTAGCTACCTGCCCACATCTAGATGCAAAGAAAAACTAAAAAATTTAGTGTCTGGCTAGGAAGACACTTCCCTAGGCACTGTGGGATAGGAATACAGAACTTTGTTGAACAGGTAGCTCAACTACAACCATAGAGGCGGGCAGGTCTCTACAGCTACCATGTCTCATAAAGGTACTTGATACGTGTTTATAAATAAACAGTGAATAAATACTGTGTGCCAGGTCATGCGTAAAGGCAGTTAGAAGGCGAGAGCTCCCTTACACCTTATTCAAAAATTAACGCAAGATGGATTAAAGACTTAAATGTAAGACCTAAAACCATAAAAACCCTAGAAGAAAACCTAGGCAATACCATTCAGGACATAGGCTTGGGCAATGACTTCATGAATAAAATATCAACAGCAAGGCAACAAAAGCCAAAATTGACAAATGGGATCTAATTAAACTAAAGAGCTTCTACATGGCAAAAGAAACTACCATCAGAGTGAACAGGCAACTTACAGAACAGGAGAAAATTTTTGCAATCTACCCATCTGACAAAGGGCTAATATCCAGGATCTACAAAGAACTTAAACAAATTTACAAGAGAAAAACAACCCCATCAAAAAGTGGGCAAAGAATATGAACAGACACTTTTCAAAAGAAGACATTCATGCAGCCAACAGACACATGAAAATATCCTCATCATCACTGGTCATCAGAGAAATGCAAATCAAAACCACAGTAGGATACCATCTCACACCAGTTGGAATGGCAATCATTAAAAAGTCAGGAAACAACAGGTGCTGGAGAGGATGTGGAGAAATAGGAACACTTTTACACTGCTGGTGGGGGTGTAAATTAGTTCAGCCATTGTAGAAGACAGTGTGGTGATTCCTCAAGGATCTAGAACTAGAAATACCATTTGACCCAGCCATCCCATTACTGGGTATATACCCAAGGGATTATAAATCATGCTACTATAAAGACACATGCACACGTATGTTTATTGCAGCACTATTCCCAATAGCAAAGACTTGGAACCAACCCAAATGTCCATCAGTGATAGACTGGATTAAGAAAATATGGCACAAATACACCATGGAATACTATGCAGCCATAAAAAGAATGAGTTCATGTCCTTTGCAGGGACATGGATAAAGCTGGAAACCATCATTCTCAGCAAACTATCACAAGGACAAAAAACCAAACACCGCGTGTTCTCACTCACAGGTGGGAATTGAACAATGAGAACACTTGGAGACAGGTTGGGGAACATCACACACTGGGGGCCTGTCAGGGGGTGGGGGGCTGGGGGAGGGATAGCATTAGGAGAAATACCTAATGTAAATGACGAGTTGATGGGTGCAGCAAACCAACATGGCACATGTATACCTGTGTAACCTGCATGTTGTACACATGTACCCTAGAACTTAAAGTATAGTAAAAAAAAAAAAAAAAAAAAGAAAAAGAAAAAGAAAAAGAAAGTATAAATATGGCAAAGAAAGAAGAAGAAAAAAAAGAAGGTGAGAGCCACAGGTTCATATATGTTTTGTGGCTACCAGATGTAATGGTTCACAAACTTAATGTAGATGCGAGAGTAGTTATTTTATTGTAAGTTCCAAACTGATTGTTTCTTCTTATCTATGTTTCTTTAACTGTGTCTTGACCGAGAGGTCACAGATTGTTCTACCGAAATAGTGACTAGTATAGTATGTAAAAATATATAGTCATCTTTTTTTCTAAGAACATTTTATGTTTTAACCTCCTTAAAAATCATTTATTTGCCCCAAATAAATTACATCTGGTAGAACATTCTAGAAGGAATGTTTCTATTTTGAAAAATAATTGCTCTCATTGTTGGAAGAACATCCATTTGTTCTAATGATTTAAGAGGTATTCTATTACTTTGGGAAAGACTCAGATTTTTAATAGGCAGGGACATAATCATTTCTAAGAAAATGAATTTTTCCAGTGGAAAGATTGATTGGTACTGCTTTTGCTATTTTTTTCCTATCAGGAGGCAATAGATAGGCTATCTCTTCAAAGGTATGTAATGTTACAAAGTGACAAGATGTCAAATGCACAGGCTAGAATAGAATATCTCCTAATGCAGCACAGGTTTTGGAAGCTGCTAGCCTCCATTAAATTGTACAAGTGAACAAAATTGATAGTTGTTAAAAAAATAAAAAACACAAGGCATCAGCCATAGTATGTTTAGAATCTGAAAGTAAAACATACTCTTTAGATTTGAACCTCCACTTCATTTTATATGTATGTTTACTCAGGAATTGTTATGCCTTATCATTTTTATCATCCTTTTATCACAGCTGTGTGAAAAATTACAGTTGAGCAGTATTCATGTTTTTACTAAAATATTTTATTTCATGCTATGAAGCAGATTGCTAACGTTTGCTACTTTTATTATTACTGCCGCACGACTCCCTCCACTCTAGTTAAAGGTTGTGTCAGTATTTCTATGAAAAAAAATCCTTTTTATTTATGTATTTGTTTTTATTCTATTATTGCTTTCTAAGCAGAGATGAATCTCAGAAGAACTCATGCTAAGTTAAAAAATTGGACAAATAAAACCTAAGCACCAAACACTGACTATAAATTCTACACAAATATTACATCTAAAATGGAGGTAAAGTTCAAAGAGATTTCTTTCACAGGATTTGATAAAAGAGGAATGTTTAAATTGGGACTTAACCACTGAAGTTCTTGAAACAGAGGGTGATACTCCAGATTTCACGGAATCAGATGAGCTGTTACACAGTCCTCGGTGGATTGAAAGGTGATGTACAGGTCTTTACCTGGAAGTGACTTCTAGCTGTGTAATTTACTTAGGATAGAGAACTGAGTTTTCTTTGTCATCACTGTAGTTTAGAAGGTGTACTACTCATTTAGTTTTGTCAAAGTGAGGGCCACCATCCATGTTTGGGAACATCATTTTAACTCTTTTCCTACATTTGGCATAGAAAGGGTGGATGCTGTTTTATTTTTATGTCACCCTGCTAACCACCCTGCTGGGAGAACAACTGGGCAATATAAATCAACAAACATAAACATTTTATAGCTTCAGATTTAAAGATAATTTGTCTTTGTCTAGTGATAATCCACTCATCCATAAATATGGATAGGCACGTGCCAGGGACAAGTGAAAACAATGT
The DNA here is from genome assembly GCF_000001405.40 of Homo sapiens. Lineage (NCBI taxonomy): Eukaryota > Metazoa > Chordata > Mammalia > Primates > Hominidae > Homo > Homo sapiens. Next base: position 90,061,231 of record NC_000007.14, on the reverse strand, counting down.
CCTTGAGGCAATGGGCCAGGAAGCTTGCAAGTGGTAAAATCACCAGGGAAAATATCCTGGTTGCTTTGCTGATACGTTAGTTACTGTCTTACTTTTTCAACCACAGTTTCTAGTGTGTTTAGGTACAGGGACATGGACAAAAGTCTGGAGTGGGCAAGGCTTACCTAAAGCTTGCCTAGTTCTTTAGCTTCCGTTGGACCCTCTAGGGGGCTAGCATGGAATAGGAAAGAGGCAGAGGACAAACCCAGGGATCAGGGCTCAGATGTCTTCCGCAGTCTGTGATCCTGTAGTCACGAAGACCCTTGCCACTGTGGTCTCCACCCAGCATTCCAGATATCTGCCGTCAATTGTATTGATGCCCATTTACCATCTTGGCTAGTCCAGTAGCACTACATCCTACCAATTTCCTAATAGTAAAGATACTGTATTGCTACCCTAACAGAGTTAGAAAATGAAGTATTAATAAAATTCTAAACCAGTGCTCCTGAGATGTCTTAGCAGCACCACCTCCGAAGCTAAGGCAGGGCTGTGTGGTTAAAAATCTTCAAGTTCTTTACCACATCCAGGGTGAATTTATTTAATTATTAAACATTTCTTAGGCGCCCAAACAAACTAGACTGGTCAGTGAAAATGTGTACCGCATATAAGGACTCTTCAGAATCTGTGCTTATTTATAACCACTGTGATTAGAAACCTAAAACAATAAACATTTGAGAGCTTTAGAGGATAGTCCTAACAACTGTGAAGAAATGAAACTTAGTCTGGGACACTGGCAACACAAATTTGATTGTTTTCTAAGGCAAGAGGAAGTAATACAGCCTAAAGCCATCTAGAAAAGCATTGTAGCAAATACAGATATGTAAGTGAAAAAAGAATCACAGAAGCATGAAATGCCTTAATTTATAATGGGAAGAAAGGGAAAAATTTTGTTTGCATTTCCAGCCTACCTCTCTGGGACTTCCTTACATCTATACAGAAAACACGTTACATCTGAGATTTGTTCTTCAGACTGGGGAGGGAAATTATGCCCTCTACCTCAAGGCTGCGAGCTGAACATTTACAAATAGATGCATCTGGGCTGTGTTGGAAGAAGATACACTCAAAACTGTCTAAGGAGACAGAAGCCCATCTGTGTATAAAAGCCCAAATTGGGTTGCTTTTTCTTTTATTGTTGTAAAAATCCATTCTGTTCAAATCCCAGCTAATGAAAATGTGCATCTGTAAATAAAAAATAAATCAAGGGAATGTAATAATCCTGCAGCTGCTGTCCACTTAACTTTCCTTTTAAAAAATAACTCAATTTTCTGGTCTGAATGTTCTTGCTATTTAGCAATGTGATGGCAATTTAAGAGGGAAAAAATAAGTATTGAAATCTATTTATGTATAACAACCTTGACAATAAATGCAGCTATGCAATAAATATATAGTAATTTGCTTTTGTAATTGTGTGGATACTTGAGGTCCAGGATCTGACCCCAGAAATCCACTACCTGGCTGCTTACATCACTGTTTTATTTGCCCATGCTATTAATTAATCTGTCTCTAACCTAGGACTGGCACTGTGCATAGGTTAGCCAGGTAACCTTCCATGTTTTATAGTTGGAGAATAGAAGGGGCCCCTGGCCAAAAATTTCCTCCCTCTTTGCATTCCATGGTGACTAAAATGTTTACTTTATAAGTTATTAAAATTTTTTTCTGGAAAAGATATTAGCTAAAATCATATAAAAATTAGTTCCTCTCACTGAAAATGGGCAGGATCTCAAAGAAAAAGGAAATAAAATCTAAGTTCTGATAAAGCAAGAGAAAGATCTGAGAACAATGTTATCTTTGCAAGATCATCTCCCCTAAATGCTTGGAAATTCTTACAGATCCTGGCATTTATTCCATTGCTATTATGGCCATGAGATGAGGATAGGGATGAATGAAGCTTATTAAGAATAATTTTGTCCTATGAGATGAGAAGTCCCCAGATAGGTTGTCTGATTAGAGTAAGTGAAAGCAAGGTGGAAGGAGCAGTCTTAAAGACAAAGAATCCCACAAACCAATAACAGAGAGTCTAATATAGAACTAGAGAGGTTGGTGCTTTCAAATACCAACAAAAATAAGCAGAGTTGTGTAGCTACTAAGCTTCTTTTTTTTCCTTGTATTTTGACAGATTATTTACACATTAGTCTTAACTTATATTAACAATACTAACATAATCTGTTAATAGGAAAGACTCTGACTTCTAACTCTGAGAGACACATCTCAGGGGGGATGTGTCTTCTAATTTTTCAAGATATGTACTTATTTACCTCTTATGCTGTTAATCCACGTTTGGTTTTGACTAATTCCACCTGAAACCTACAGAAGAGAAAGACATTAAAACTCAATAAGCAGTTCATGTCATGGGAGCAATCAGTTTTCACTTACTTGTTTTTTTACTTTATTTTTTTTAACTTTTCAAAGTAATCAGCAAACCTTTTATTGAAATGGCTCTTATAACAGGAAATTGTAATCCTCATGGCTTAAAGAGTTTGTTCTAGTGAAATTATGTAGTGGTTTAGAGAAAAGTCAAGGGTTTCTCTTAGCATCTCTTCTCTTAATCCCTTTACTTGCAATTTCAGATTTCCCTGGAGCTTTTTAAAAAGGAAGTATGTTAACTTGCTTGTGTGAAATTGCTGCCTTGTTCGGTGGTATCTCATTTTTCATAGTGGCCACAGCTGAAATGCTTTTCTCTGTTCAGCCTGATTGTGCCACCATGCCCACTGTTCCCTGAAACAATGAGATTGATGACAGTATTTCGTGTTCACCTGAAAGCTCCTACCATCTCTACCAATCCATTTTAATTTTTATGTCTTTTCATGAGAGGCAAGCAGAGGAAATCAAATAAACTTGCATAATTCTGTTTTGAAATTCAGCTGATGATTCTCAGTTTGAAGAGCGGGTAACTAGACAACAAGAGGTAGCTGGGTAAAGTCCAGTGTTTTCTCGAGGCTGGTGGATTGAAGACATGTTTAGTAGTTTCTGTTGCTATTTCCCTGCATTTTATTTGATAATCGTAATTAAATTTTTATAGGTACCTTGGATGATTGGTTGCATTACTTTTCCTGAAAAAATTATTCCTCAAAAATGCACTTGTAATTGTGTTTTCTTCTGAAAGATGGGAAAAATATCATTATGTAAACAGAGCCTTTTCCCCCACCATGCTAAGCTGCTAAAATGCTAATGTTGGGCATTTGTAGTTGACTTACATATTGGGCACAAAATTGTGCTAGACTAACTCTTCATGAATAGGCAACCCAATCTCTATTTATCATCAAAGTGTTTGTCTTTTCTACTAATTTAGAAGCTCATTATATACCCCCATTTTCTACCTTGTGCATTGAGAGCTTTCAGATAGTACATAAGACTTTTTCTAGGGTCCTTGGAGAACAGAGCCTGAGGCAAAGCTAAGGTGCTAATGCTTTATTGGTAAATCTAATTCCAGGGCTCTGAGAGTGAGGAAAAAGTTAAGTTGTAAAGAGGAAGACAGCAAACATAAGGTGGTACATCACTGAACTATGCTTGGCTTCACAAACAAACACAGGCAATTTTCCAGCCATGCAAGAGGTTTTCTGTCAGATTATTTAAAAGCACCTTGCCCCCAGATGGTTCATGTAAGGGGGGAATGCAAAGCAACTTATCTACAGCTTCCCTCCCATCTCCAGTCACTCAATAGTCAGAGTAAACACTACGAAGAATTGACGCTTCTACATTTTGGGGTTGTCACTAAGTTGTGCAGCTTAGTTACACAACTAAAGAAGCCAGTTCCCATGTCCTGTAGCTGGGTACTTCATCTGAGTCAGAAAGTAGTGGGAAGAGACAAGGATTTCAGGCTTTGTCAGTTGCAATTGGCTGAACCACACATCTCTGCTGGTTTTAGAGTGGGCCTATGAGGTAGTTACTTAGAAGAACAGGCTGAGGGTCTTAAGGATAAGTGAGATGGAGAGAATCTAAGGTTGTGCTTTCGATGTATCTAATTCAAGCGTAGTCTACCCTCATTAGCTATTATTTGCTACATGCCCTAAAATAAGTTTTTGTCTCCTTCTACTGTTTATTTTGTTTATCCATTTCTCCCATAGCTTTTCTTATTTAGTTTATTTTTTGATTTATTTTAGTTTTTATACAGTGGGATAAAATTTCCCTTTCTTCTTCTGGTCCTTCAAAAGCTAAGAGTTATGCCACAACATGAAGAAAGGACACTGCTTTATTTAGAAATTACCAAGTTGGAAGATAGTCTTCAACAATGAATAAGGCAATTTCTCAACAATCCAACAAGGTAATTATATTGAACTGATTTGTAATTGAACAGCAAGCATAAATAGTAACAATTTGATCAGTCACAATTACTGAAAGTGCTTTGAGATCCTCTTTATGGGCAAGAAAAATTATGAGCAATATTATGGGAATTATAGTAATTGGCAATATGCCCAGACCCAAATTCATGTTAAGGGAGAGGTGAGATGATTTTTTTTTGAACCATGTTGACTGTATTGGACACTAGAGTCAAAATTGACCATGGAGTATTTTTGAGATTGTAATTTTCCTAACCGACATCTTCTGAGTCCAGAGCTCAATTCTTAAACTTACTAGTTTTGTGACTTTGGGCAGTTATTCACCTTCTCTAAGCCTTTGGTTTACTCATCTGTAAAGTGGCATTGATCAAAGCACTTTGCTGTGCTCCATAAACCCTGCAAATTTTGTAGTTGTATAAAGAAAGTAAACAGGTACATAAAGATATTTTAGTACCAACCTTTTAATTTTTAAAATGTAAGTGGCTTTTAGACTCCTTATGAAACTCTAAGGGCTCCATGGTGCCCTTCCATTCCACCTTTTCTACTCTATCAAGAATCGTAATTTTCAAATAATGCTGTATTCAAATTATTCTCTGAATTGTATCTCATTTCATTTGTCATGTAGCTTGCTGCCCACTATCTGCATGCAATTCAGATTTTCACTGTTTCTTTGAGATTTTCTTATAACTCTCCTGTCAGTTTCTTTTTGGTCCATGATTTCCGTATTAAGAAACACTTTACTGAATATTTTGGTCAATCCATCAACTGAAAAGGCTTCATTGAGAAACTACTATGTGTAGACATGCTTTAAAGCATTAGACATTCAGCAGTGAAAAGGACAGAATTCCCAATCTCCAGATGCTTATTCTCGAGACAGATGAATATATAAAGAAATACATAGAATATGGTAACTTCTAGTACTGAAAGCTAACAAAGGTGATACTGTGAGGAACCTGGGTGAGACTGAAAATCTTGGGAAGAAGGATCATGACCCCAGGTGGAAGGGTTGACTTCCCTGCGTCGTTATGCCATTGCAGGAAGAACTTGAGCAGACTGTTTTTCTGTAGCTGTAGATTTGTCTGTTTTTATTTTAGTTAACACTTACACCTAGTATCTTTAATTTTTATTAGGCCTGCTAAAATAATTTTTGAAAATAAGATAATTCCATTTCTCTCAGTTCTAAGCTTTAATACACATTGTGCAAAATTCAGCCATTGAGTCAGATTATTCCAGTGTCACATATGTCTTTATTGTAGGTTGACATGTTTTAGGAGGTCAACTTTTAGTATGCAGAAGTATCCAGTTAACAACTTCTCTAATGACTTTTTGAAAGACCTCTAAGCCTTAATAGATGAGAACAGTGTATACTTCAAATTTTATCTAACACTTAAGAATCAAGGCAAAAATTTCTTTTAATATGTTAATAAAGCATTTGAGTTGCCTATTGATACATCCTTTTGGTTTATCCTGGAAATATATTCTTTGGCTATTGTGGCATATAACTGGATGATATTTTAAGTTATTAACACTTTAAAAATGTTTTCTGCTTTCTTATCCCCACATTTAAGAAATTAACTGGCTCTGGAATTTTCACCCAAGGGCAGTTGTGTGACAAGTCAGAAAGTAGAGTACCCCATAAGTCTTTTAAGCCATTTAGTTAAGAAATGTTTATGGAGCCTTCTAAGGGCCAGGCACTGTCGGTGAAATTGCCTAGGAAGAGTAAATAACTGTTGCTCAGGAGAGCCAAAAGGGTTCACTTGGCAATGTATTAATATTAGTTTGCTAGGCTGCTGTAACAGACTGAATGGTTCCAATAATAGAAATCTATTTTCTCATAGTTCTGGTGGCTGGAAGTCTAAGATCAAGGTGTTGGCAAGGTTAGTTTCTTCTGAGTCCTCCCTCCTTGGCTGGTAGATGGCCGCCTCCCCACTGTATCATCATACGGTCTTTTCTCTGAACATGCTCATGCCTGTGTCTGTCTTCTCCTCCTATAAGGACACATTAGTCAGATGGGATTAGGGTCCACTCACATGACCTAATTTTACCTTAGTTACGTTTTTAAATGTTTATCTACAGATACCCTCACAGTCTGAGGTACGAAGGATACCTCAGAAGTTCAACATGTGAATTTTGGGGAGGTGCAATTCAGGCCGTAATGGCAAGGAGGGGGTGCGTTTGCACATTCGGTATCTATGTGGGAACTGGGTCACAGATTTTCCAGCTTTCCTCAGAGGCAGCCCACCATTGCCTAATGCATGGACTACCACAGCTCCTTTAGTTAGCAAATAGTGAAGCTTTCACTTTATCAGTAGCTAGTACCTTCTTTGGTGATCACTTAGCAGGAGCAATCTCTGTCATTGCCTAAGAATTACTTGGCTTTCATCTCATTTATGGACATCTCCCCTTAGAAAACCCTATGGCCTATGTAAGCCTAAGGAAAGGATACTTAATGAGAAGGTGATGGGTGGAAGTCATCTATGTTTGTATTGATGAGGCCTAATATTCCAGCTTGGGGCCTATGATATGAGAAGCATTAATGATACCCCAACTATAAACATTCCAGTATATTTTATTTAAAAAATGTACCAGTAAGTATACAAATATTCCTAAGCCAGACTGTCGAAGACAATATAAACTTTTAGAATATGCTTGATAAAAAGAAGGAAGCATCAATTTAGTCACCGAGGAACATAACAGATGAGAAAAACAGTTAAAGATACAGAAAGCATGGAGTAGTTACTCTTCCATTTCTCAAAAATGCAATGTACCAGACCTCGTTTATTCTCTGAAAACATTACCTGGTGTTTTATAAGAAATGATCATAAAAGTGTGGGGATTTTGAGGTATAGGGATGAGTGCCTCACCCAGCCTTAATATGCAAAGCTAAGAGCCACAGCCAAGGTCAGAGCTAGAGCTGCTTGGGAAGCATCACTGCAGGTGAAAGTTAATAGACACTGGTGATGTGTATTGTGCTTGGTCAAGGCCTTCAAGCCCTTTGTGGTAGGGATAAGGGTGTATAAGGTCTTCTTGGAAGCCCTGCTGCTGTGAACTGTGGGGAAATCTCATTAGTTACTAGGATAGTGCCAAGCTTCCCCTCTGTAAAAATGGGAAGGAAAATGAAATTGCAGAAACAGAAAGTGTTTCTCATTCTGTACTCAACAAGTCTTGTTGCATTTTCACATTGCTCCATTGTGTTTTCTCATCAACATAAAAAGATTCCTAAAAGACTCATTGCTGGATGTGGTATAACTGGCTAGCAGTGAGATGCAGGCTTTTAGATTTATAGCCAACTCTTAAGATTCACTAGGAATCTTAGTTGTAGTGCCATCTGAAAAAGTTAAAATTCTCAGCTAATAATATAGCCATGACATTTGTTGATGAGGGAAAGACTACATAACTGTGTAGAGAGGCATTTACTCCTGGGCTCCCCAACACTTCATTCTAGCTTTTCTCAAAATATGGTTTTCAGAATTACCCAGAGCCTTGTTAAAAATGTCATTTTTCTGACCGCACACCAGATCTACTGAGTTATAATCTCTACATTTTTTTTTCAAATACTTCGATTCTTATGCAAACTACAATTTGAAAATAATATACATATCCAAATTTCCACCAGAGCAAAATTATGATTTGTGACGTCATGGGCCTTTTGGGGCTTATTCTCAAACTGGTGTGATTATAAATGTAATATATAAAAATGTCTAGGTTCTAATAACTACTATTTCTGTCAGCAATAGAAGCATCAGAAAAGACACAGAGAGGTCACTTTATATGCCCATTTGCTTTTCTTTCTTTCTTCTTCCCCTTACTAATAAATGATGAGCATGAACCATCAAAGTAACTGGGGAAAAAAACAAAAGACTTCAAAAAACACCCACCCTTTTTTTTCTCCAGGGACAGATGGTGTCACCTCTGCCACCTATCAAAATTCCATATAAAATATGAGCTTATTTCTGGATGCTGTTCTTTTCCACTAGCCAGTTTATTTCCTTATACTAATATCATATTGTCTTCTAAGATAGCTTTATAATGCATCCATATATATGGTGAGACAAATCTCCTATTTCCTTCTTCTGAAGTATTGTTATGCTTGGCTTTTCCATAGAAATTTTAGAATCAACTGTTCTAATTGTGTGAAAAGCCCCATTGGTACATTGGTTGGAGATGCATTAAATATATACATCAATTTAGGGAAAACTGACATTTTTATGATGTGAAATCTTTCTATCCTTGAACCTGGAGTAGCTCCCTATTTATTTATCTTTTTAAATGTTTTCATTAGAGTTTTATAACTTATCATCTATAATATATTTTACAGTTTTTTGTATTTTTAGATATTGTCTTTAAAATATTTTCTAATTCTTTGCTGTAATACTGGATAGGTACTGCTATGTACTTCTCAGGGTATAACATGCAGAGGTACGCATATCCATCTGTCTCTCAATGGTGATGCTAATTTTGATCACTTGGTCAAGATACTAACTTATTTATCTGCAATATAATTAATTATTTTCACCCTTTCAAACTAATAAACAATCTGTGAGAAGAAATTAAGACCATGCAAATATTTTACTCCTCGTCAAGAGTTTGCAATCAGAGTAAGTCTCAGATTTAGCTTATTCTGTTCAAGGATTAACGTGCAGCCATATTACTGGGGCCTTGTGGCAACTCTAGGGAACTTTGCCCTTTCATGGTATGCTGGTCCAGTCTTGCTGTGTGCCACACTGGCCTCTATTTTCTCAGATTCCCAGAAGTTTCCCTCAGGAATTTCCACTCATGGCCGTGAGCAGTTCTGCTTAGGCTTCTAGGCTCCTAACTGTCACCATTCTTGTTGTTTGCTCCTTAAAGGTCAGGTTTGGATAGTCTTTCTGTTTATATAGTGATGAAAGAGGGTACCTTGAAAGCTTCTCTGCTTCCTGTAAGACCAGAGTACCATATATCTGAGGTCTGGTGGTAGTAGAACCAGGAACATCTCTCACAACTTCTAGTTATTATCAACCCTGAGAACCAAAAACTTCTTACTCTTAAAGTATAATTCATGAACTATTGTCATTTCATAAAAAATTTTCTCATTATTAATTCATTCTTATAAGATGTTACATTTGTGGTTTTCAGCACTAAAAATGTTGGGCTATTTACTGCTTCAGTAGACAGATATAATGGATTGGGGAAAACAAGAAGTTTCTGAAATGTTAGAGTGATTCAAAGTTGGGGTAGCAAGAACATTCCTTGAGACTTATGAAAAGCATAAAACTAGGTTGTTATATAATTTGTAGATGTAACTCAGTATAATAATATCTAGGTTCTTTAAAGAAGTTGTTAAACACATGAGTTTATAACTTGCAAGATGCTATAAAGTGAATTGCAACGTCTTTCACATTTTTTCTCTACTTTTAGGACAATTACTTTTTTCATGTGCTTGATGAATGAAAGAAATAGAAAACAGCTTTAGAAGGTTTAAAACTGTTGTATACAAGAAAATAAATACTAGAATCTTTTTCATCTCTTTTAGTATGGAAACAACCATATTCTAATGCTTAAAATTTATTTTGTAACCAAGATGTGTGGTTTGAAAGGTTTCAGTTTGAAAATTTATCAGTAGTGAAAAGGAAATACAATTGGGCAGATTTGAATTGCTAGAGGTTGACGTTCCATAATGTTTAGAATCATCAACCAAGTGAATTTCACTGTGCCTGCAGGTTGTGTTTTGGGGGTAACTGAATATCATTAAAAAGAATTGATGAGCTACATACATTTAATGATGCATTAATTTTTAAAGCTTGTTGATTCTTGAAACTCTTGTATAACATCAACAGTTAAGAATCTCAATTAATAGCACTGACTTTTGTACTTTAAAACTTATTTTGAAATAGTACAAATGAATCTGTATCTACTCTCATCCCTCCCCCATCTGAAGTTGAGAACATATGTCCTATGGCTGGTAATCTTTTTTTTTCAAATCTGGTTTTAACAATTTTTAACTTTTTGCCATTGTATTTTTTGTTATCTTTTGGGAACCGTGTTAGTTTCTTAAAGCTGCCATAACAAATTACCACAAACTTTGGGGCTTAAAACAATAGAAATATGAAATGATATCAGCAATATAGTGAAATAGAAAGCCCTTGACCCTTCTTCCCCCACAAATATACCTCATAAACACATCAATTCAGCAGCAACTCATGGACAAATCCCCTTTGTGAGAAACCAGAAAAGCTCTGGCATCCTGAAAACCAAATATGAAACCAGACTTAACAAAGCTAGTGGGAAGATTTAAGATACCCTTTCACCAGAAACCCTACCCCTAGCACAGCACTATATGACCAAGTAAAGGTACACTAGCTCTCAGCTTCACCCAGAGCAGGGAAGGTGTTTTTTCATGTGTCTAATACCCCAAATTTTCTCAGGGGGCTTTTGGATATCTGAAGGGTCCAGAATAGTCTAGCCACCTGGAGGAGAACAGAGGTAGTAGATGACATGGATCCTCCCCTCAGTTAAGCACAGAGCAAATAGATGGAAAAAAATAAAAATAAAACCAGCTCTCAGTTTCCTCTGGTAGGGGGAGAGTTGACGTGTACATCAATGCCCAGTTTCCAGAGCTGCCCAAAGAACTAGTACCTGCCTCACCAATCTTGAAGCTCTGACAGATCCAGTACAGTCTAGCTGCCTGGGGAACAATGGGCATGTTGACTTGGATTGGTAGATGCCAAAGCTCCCCACCCTAGCTCAGCACAGAGCAAGTAGTCAGAAACTGCAGCTGCCTACTTCTTCCTTGAGAGGAAAAGAGTTAATAGACGATCTCAGAATCCCTGGCTAGGATGATTGGTGAAGGTCTTTTCCTATACAGGTCAGTTTGTGAAGACAGAGGGGTGCCTGCTTTGTGTAATATGCAGACATCAACACAGAGAGTCAAGAAAAATGAAAAACCAGGCAAAGATGTTTCAAACAAAAGAACAAGGTAAATCTACAGAAACCAAAGCCTAATGAAAAGGAGGTATATAATTTACAGACAGAGAATTAAAAATAACTCTTAAAAAGATGCTCAGTGAGGTCAAAAGAACAATGCATGTATAAAGTAAGAATTTCAACAAAGAGATAGAAAATATTAAAAGTACCAAACAGAAATCATGGAGCTGAAGAGCACAATAACTCAACTAAAAATTTACTAGAGGGATTCAATAGCAGACTAGATTAATCAGAAGAAAGGATGAGTGAATTGAAAGATCACTAAAAATAATTCAGTAGAAAAACAAAAAAAAATGAAAAAGTGGAGAAAGCATAGAGGAATTATGGGACATCATCAATAGGAGCAATATGCACATTATGGGAGTACTAGGAGAAGAAAAAGAACCATAAAGCTTATTCAGAGAAATAATGGGTGAAAACTTTCCAAATCTGGGGAAGGAAATGATCATCCACATCTAGGAAGCCTAGAAGATACCAAATTAGATCAACACAAAGAAATTCACCCAGAGACATGTTATACCCACAAAGTTACACAAAATCAAAAGAGAAAAAGATCAAAGTGTGCTAATACGAAAAGTGGACAAAACACAAAGGAAAGCAATAGGAAAGGAAAATACAATAGAAGAACTATAAGACCAGTAGAAAACAATGAATAAAGTGGCAATAGCAAATCCTTCCCTATCAATAATTACTTTAAATGTAAATAATGTCGTTTGGCTGTGTCCTCACCCAAATCTCAACTTGAATTGTATCTCTCAGAATTCTCACATGTTGTAGGAGGGACCCATGGGGACATAATTGAATCATAGGGGCTGGTTTTTCCCGTGCTATTTTCATTATAGTGAATAAGTCTCATGAGATTCGATGGTTTGATCAGGGGTTTCCACTTTTGCTTCCTCCTCCTTTTTCTCTTGCTGCTGCCATGTAGGAAGTGCCTTTCACTTCCCACCATGATTCTGAGGCCTCCCCAGCCATGTGGAACTGTAAGTCCAATTAAACCTCTTTTGTTCCGGTTTTGGGTATGTCTTGATGCAGCATGAAAACAAACTAATACAGTAAATAAATTAAACTCCCTAATCAAACATAGGGTGGCTGAATGGATTTAAAAAAAGGATTAAAAAATGGATTAAAAATAGCCCAAACTATTTGCTGTTCTATAAGTTTACTTTATTATTAGTTTTTTAAAATTAATTTTATATATCAGAAATATTGATACATAATAGACACATCTTGGGGGTATGTATAATTTGATACCTTCATATAATGTGTAAAGATCAAATCAGAAGAATTGGGATAAGCATCACTATATTAGTCCATTTTCATGCTACTGATCAAGACATACTCAAGATAGGATAATTTCTAAAGAAAAAGAGGCCTAATGGACTCACAGTTCCACATGGCTGGAGAGGCCTCACAATCATGGCAGCAGGCAAAAGGTATCTCTTACATGGCAGCAGACAAGAGAAAACCTGTGCAGGAGAACTCCCCTTTATAAAACCATCAGATCTCATGAGATTTACTCATTATCACAAGAACAGCATGAGGGTAACCACCAGCATGATTCAATTACCTCCCACAAGGTCCCTCCCACGACACATGGGAATTATGGGGACTACAATTCAAGATGAGATTTGGGTGGGGACACAGACAAACCATATAATTCCACCCCTGGCCCCTCCCAAATCTCACGTTCCACCCTGTTTTTGCTCACTCTCCATGGGTCATGCCAGCCACCTAGGCAATCCCAGTAGGAGAACTTCAGTACCTCAATTGAAGATGCAGAGTTCACTTGTAGTTTTTGTCCTTCTTGGTGGGAGCTGCAGAATGGAGCTGCCTCTATTCAGACATCTTGGCTCAACCCCCCACCCCCAATTTTTAGTTTTTTGAGAAATATCCATACGGTTTTCCACAGTGGCTGTGGTAATTGATACTTCCATCAACACTGTGCAAGGATTCCCCTTTCTCCACATCTTTGCCAGCATCTGTTTTTCCCTGTCTTTTTGCTATGAGACCAAAAGATACAAGACAATGAGATATCATCTCACTGCCATTTAGTTGCATTTTTGATTTGCATTTCTCTGATGATTAGTTATATTGAGGTTTTTTCATATAACTGTTGGCCATTTGTATGCATTCTTCTGAGAAATGGCTATCCAGGTCCTTTGCCCAGTTTTTAATTGGGGTGTTTTTATTGCTATTGAGTTGTTTGAGCTCCTTATATGTTCTGTGTTAATCTTTTGTCAGTTGAATAGTTTGTAAATATTTTTCCCCATTCTGCTGGTTGTCTCTTCACTTCGTTGATTATTTCCTTTGCTGTGCAGAAGCATTTTAGCTTAATATAATCCCATATGTCAGTTTTTGCTTTGGCTGCCTGTGCTTTTGAGGTCTTACACAAAAATTATTTGCCCAGACCCATGTCCTGGCTCATTTACCCAATTTTTTTCTCTAGGGTTTCATAATTCTAGGTCTAAGATTTAAGATTTCAATTCATTTTGATTTGATTTTTATGTATGGCAAGAGATCGGGGTCTAGTTTCATTCTTTTGCATGTGGTTATTCAGTTTTCCCAGTACAATTTATTGAAGAGACTGTTCTTTCTGTATTCTATGTTCTTGGTGCCTTTGTCAAAGCAGTTAGCTGTAAATGTATGGATTAATATCTGGGTTCTCAATACTTCTCCATTGGTCTACATATCTGTTTTTATGCCAATAACATGTTGATTTGGTTACTATAGCTTTGCAGTCATATTTGAAGTTGGGTAATGTGGTGGCTCCAGCTTTGTTCTTTTTGATTAAGACTATTTGGGGTCTTTTGTAGGTCCACGCAGATTTTAGGATTGTTTTATATTTCTGTGAAAAATGTCATTGGTATTTTGATACAAATTGCATTGACTCTATAAATTACTTTTAGTAGTATTGCCATTTTCACAATATTAATTCTTAAAATTCATGAGTATGGAATATCTTTTCACTTTTTTGTGTGATCTTTTAATTTATTTCATCAATTTTTAAATCATTTTTCTTATATAGATCTTTCACTTCTTTGGTTAAATTGATTTCTAAGTATTTTATAACCGTTGTAGCTATTGCAAATGCAATTGCTTTCTTGATTTCTTTTCAGATTGTTTGTTCTTGGTGTATACAAATGCTACTGAGTTTTGTATATTGATTTCATATCCTGTAACTTCACTGAATTTGTTTATCAATTGTAACAGGTTTTTTATAGTCTTTCAATTTCTTTAAAAATAACATCACATTCTACAAATAAGGATAATTTGACTTCTTTCTTTCCAGCTTTGAAGCCCTTTATTTCTTTCCCTTAGCTAATTGCTGTGGCCAGGACTTCCAGTATTTGTTGAATGAAAGTGGTGAAAGTGGGCATCTTTGTCTTTTTCTAGATCTTAGAGGAAAGAGTTTCAATTTTTCCCCATTGACTGTGATGTCATCTGTGGCTTCATCATATTTGATTCTTCCATTTTGAGGTATTTTCCTTCTATTCCTAGTTTGTTGAGGGTATTTTGCATGTAGGGATGGTGAATTTTATCAAATGCCTTTTTTTCATCTGTCGAAATACTCATATAATTTTTGTTCTTTATTTTATTAATGTGATGTATCACATTTATTGATTTGTATATGTGAAACCATCCTTGCCTCCCAGGGATGAATTCCACTTGATCATGGTGTGTGATCTTTTTATTGTACTGTTGGATTTGCTTTGCTAGTATTTTGTTGAGAATATTTGCATCTATGTTCATCAGTGATATTGGCCTGTGTTTTTCTTTCTTTCTTTGTGTGTCCTTGTCTGGTTTTAGTATCAGGGTAATGCTAGCCTTGTAGAATGAGTTTGGAAGGATTCCCTCCTCTTTAATTTTATAAGGAGTTTAAGTACAGTTGGTATTGTTCTTTAAAAGATAGTAGAAATCAGCTCTCAAGCCATTAGGTCTTAGGCTTTTTTTATTTTTATTTTTTTGATGGGAGACTTTTTATTATGGCTTCATTTCATTATTCATTACTTCACTTAATCACTGAAGGAATGGAAAAAGATATTCTATGCAAATGCTAACTGAAAGAGAGCAAGGGTCTAAGCAAGCAATCTTAGACAAAATAGAACTATGTCTAGAACTGTAACAAAAGACAGAAGAATTTTTATAATGACTAATGATAAAAGGGTCACTCGACCAGAAAGATCTCACAATTATATATGTGTGTGTGTATATATATACACGTGTGTGTATACACACACACGCACACACACATATATATATATATGCATTAAACAGAAAAGTGCCAAAATATATAAAGCCAACATCGGCCAATAATGGACAGAACATCCAGATGGAAGGTCAATAAGGAAACAGGACTAGAATGACACTATATATATATATATATATATATATATATATATATATATATATATATATATACACACACACACACACACACACATACAGATACATATATACAGATATATATATACTATATATATATACACACTATATATATATAGTATATATATATACACACACACACAGAGATATAGGACATTTCACTCAACAATAGCAAAATACATATTCTTCTCAAGTATATATAGATTTTTCTCCAGAATGGATTGTGAGTTAGGTCACTAAACAAATCTTAACAAAGTTAAGAAGATTAAAATCATACGAAGTATGTTTTCTGACCACAATGAAATAAACTTAAAATCAGTGACAAAAAGAAAACTAGAAAATTTACACAAGTGGAAATTAAAGAACACACTCTTAAATAATCATTGGGTTAAAGACAAACTTTAAGAGGAAATTAGGAAATACCTTGAGACAAATGAAAATACAAATACAACATACCAAAATTTATGGGACGTGGCAAAGCAATACTAAGAGAGACTTTCATAGCAATAAATGCCTACATTAAAAATCAAGAAAGATCTTAAATAAAGAACTAAACTTTACACTTTAGGAACTAGACCAATGAAAACCAAGCTAAACCTAAAGTTAGCAGGAAAAAGAAAATAACAGATTAGACTAGGAATGACTGAAATAGACAAATAATAGAAAGAAATCAACAGAGCTAAGAGTTGGTATTCTGAAAATATTAAATGGACATACTGTTAGCTAGACTAAAAAAATGGAGACTGAAATAAAATCAGAAATAAAAATGAACATTATAACTGATGCCACAAAAATAAAAATAATTATAAAGTCTATTACAAACAATTATAGCATATAAGTTTATGCTAACAAACTGAATGACCTAGAATAAATGGATAAGTTTTTACCAACATAGAACTTATGAAGACTAAATCATAAAGAAATAGTCTGAATAGACATAACTAGTATGGAGTTGTTATCTGTGATAAAAAAAATTTCCAAAGAAAAGCTGTGGATCTGATAGCTTCACTGTTTAATTCTACTAAGCATTTAAAGAAAAGCTGATAACATTACTTCTCAAATCATTTCAAAATATTGAAAAGAAGGAAATATTTCCAAGTTCGTTTCATCAGCATCACCCTGATACCTTTTGGTATCAAGAAAACTACAAGTCAGTAACCATGATAAATATACATGCAAAAGTTCTCAACTGAACACTAGCAAGATACAAAGCTCAAAGCTGGCAGAAGGAGGGGAATCATAAAGATCAGAGCAAAGTATAACAAACTGAATTCAACAGCATTTTAAAAGGATCTTACACCATGACCAAGGGGTCTTTATTTCTGGGATGCAAAGATGGTTCAACACAATTAATGTGATAAACTATATTAATAAAATAAAGGATAAAAATCACATGATCATCTAAATAGGTGAAGATAAAGTGTCTGACAAATCTCAGCAAACATTTATGATAAAAACTCTCAACAAACTAGTAATAGAAGGAAATTACCTTAACATCATTAAGGCCATATATAACAAAACACACAGCTAACATCATAATTATTGGGAAAAGTTGAAAGCTTTTTCTCTAAGATCAGGAAAAAGGCAAGAATGCCTATTGTTGCTACTTCTACACATACAGCACTGGAAGTCCTAACTGGAGCAATGAGGCAAGAGAAATAAATAAAAGACATGCAAATTAGAAAGAAGCAAAATTGTCCCTGTTTTAGATCACATGCCTTCCTCACTAAACTTTATAATCTCTAGCTTCTGTTTTCAGGTGAGAGATATGTAACTCTTCCTTTCATGTGAATACTTAGAGGTGATTGTATCATTATTAATTGGCCTAATTTCAATATTGTTGTGTCTCAGGGAATAGGGAGATCTGAGGGGAGAGAGAGAGATAGGGGAATGGCCAGTCCATGGAACAGTCAGAATACACAGAGTATTTACTGATTAACTTCACTGTCTTACATGGGCGTAGATCATAATACCCCCAAACAACTACACTAGTAACATCAAAGAGCACTGATTATGGATTACCATAATAGATATAATAATAATGAAAAAGTTTGAAATATTGTTAAAATTACCAGCATGTGACTCAGAGACATGAAGTGAGTATATGCTGTTGGAAAAATGGTGCCAACAGACTTGCTGGAAACAGGGTTGCCACAAAGTTACATTTGTAAAAAAACAAAATATCTGTAAAGTACCATAAAGTGAAGTGTAATAAAATGAGGTATGCCTGTAAGGTCAACTGATTCTTGACAAAAGTGCCTAGAATATACAATAGAAAAATGATAGTTTTATGAGTAAATGGTTTTGGGAAAACTGAATATCCACATACAAGATAATAAAATTGGATCCTTATCTTATACCATAAATAAGAATCAGCTCAAAAAGGACAAAAGACTTAAAGATGAGACCTGAAAATTTAAAACAACTAGAAGAAAACACGTGGAAATATTCATGATATTGGTCTTGGCAATGATTTTATGTATATGACACCTCAAGTACAGGCAACAAAAACAAAAATAAACATGTGGGACTACATGAAATTTGCACAGGAATGGCAACAATCAAGAGAATGAAAAGGCAGCTTATGGAATGGGAGCAGATATTTGAAAATCGTCTAAGTGTTTAATCCCCCAAATATGTAGGGAATTCATATAACTTAATAGCAAAAAAAAAAAAAACCCTAAAAAAATGTTCTAAGGAGTTGAGTGACATTTTCCCAAAGAAGACA
This sequence comes from Homo sapiens, assembly GCF_000001405.40. NCBI lineage: Eukaryota > Metazoa > Chordata > Mammalia > Primates > Hominidae > Homo > Homo sapiens. The sequence goes on along the minus strand of NC_000007.14, from coordinate 90,042,838 downwards.
TCACATATTAGAATGGTTATTATTATTATTATTGTTATTTTAAAGAGAAATGTTGGGAAGGATGTGGAGAAATTGGAACCCCTGCACTCTGTTGATGGGAATGCAAAATGGGGCAGTTAATTTGGAAACAGTATGGAGGTTCCTCAAACTTAAACATAGATCTACTGTGTGACTAAGCAAGCTCACTTCTGGGTATTTATCCAATCGAATTGAAATAAAGATCTTGAAGAGATGCTAGCACTCTTATGTTCATTGCAGCACTATTTACAATACCGCAGATGTGGAAACAACCTGAATGCCCATTGATTGATAAATTAATAAAGAAAATGTAGTATATTCATATTATGGGACACTACTTAGCCCTGTAAAAGGAGGAAATTTTGCAGTATGGATGAACTTTGAGCACATTATGCTAAGTAAAATAAGCTGGTCACGTAAAGACAAATACTGCATAATTTCAACTATATGAGGTATTTAAAATAGCCAAATTCATAAAATCAAAGAGTGCAATAATGGTTACCAGGGGTTGGGGCAAAGTGGAAGTGGAGAGTTACTAATCTACCATCATGAAGTTTGTCAAGCACAATGGATAAGTTCTAGTGATCTTTTGTAAAATGTTGTGCCTATTGTCAACAATAATGTAGTGTATGTTAAAAATGTTTGGGTCCATGTGTTCTCATTGTTCAATTCCCACTTGTGAATGAGAACATGCGGTGTTTGGTTTTTTGTCCTTGCGATAGTTTGCTGAGAATGATGGTTTCCAGCTTCATCCATGTCCCTACAAAGGACATGAACTCATCATGGACACAGGAAGGGGAGCATCACACACCGGGGACTGTTGTGGGATGGGGCAGGGGGAGGGATAGCATTAGGAGATATACCTAATGTTAAATGACGAGTTAATGGGTGCAGCACACCAACATGGCACATGTATACATATGTAACTAACCTGCACATTGTGCACATGTACCCTAAAACTTAAAGTATAATTAAAAAGAACTAAAAAAAAATGTTTGAGAAGGTAGATCTCTTGTTAATTGTTCTCACCACAGTAAAATAAGAGAGACCAAAAAAAAAAAAATGTGTTCTCCCACAGTTCTGGAGACCAGAAGTCTGAAACCAAGTTGTTGACGTGGCTGTATTCCTTGCGAAGGCTCCAGGGGATAATCTGCTTCTTGCCTTTTTCAGCTTCTGGTGGCAATTGATATTCTTTGGTGTTCCTTGGTCTGTAGCTTCGTGAACCCAGTCTCTGCCTTCATGATTATATTGCTGCTACTTCTTTGTGTGGTTTCTCCTCTGCATGCCTATCTCAAAATCCCTCTGCCTTTCTTATATAAATATACATGGTGATTGCATTTCATATTCACCTGGATAATCTAACATAAATTCTTTAACTCAAGATCCTTAATCACACCTTCTGCCATATAAGGTAGTATTCACAGGTTCTGGGGAGTAAAATGTGGACGTATCTTTTTGAAGGACAGCATTTAGTATACTACATTCCATCCTTTGGCCCTCCAAAAATTATGTTCAACCTATATGCAAAATACATCCCTCAAAACCTCAAACTGTTATAGCACAAGCTCTAAATCTGAGAATCTCATTTAAATATAATTGCTTAAAAAGTCCCAAATCTCATCATCTAAATCATGTAAATAAGATATAGGTGAGAATCTAAGCATGATCCATCTTGGGACATTGTCTCCATTTGTGGACCTGTGAAACTAGAAAACAAGTTGTTTCCAAACTACAATAATGAGTCAGACATATTATAACAGTTACAAAACATTCCCATTCCCAAAGGAAGAAAATGGAAAAAGTAAAGGGGTCATTAAGGGTGGACAATGGTGGGCTAAATGGTGACTCCCCCCAAATTTGTCCATGTCCTTTTTCCTAGAGGCTGTGAATATTACCTTGTATAATAAAGGAACTGATTAAATTAAGGTTCTTGAGAGGAGGAGCTACTCTGGATTATCTGGGTGGGCCTTACATACAATCACATGTATCCTTATAAGATAAAAGCAGAGGAGTTTTTAGAGAAAGACATAGAGGAGAAGACACATAAAGAGGAGGAGGTGATATGATCTCATAGGCAGAGATTCGATTGGTGTGGTACAGGTCAAGGAGTCGTAGAGCCACCAGAAGCTGGAAGAAGCAAGGGATTCTCCCCTAGAGTCTTCAGTGGTAGCACAGCCTTGCTGACACATTGATTTCAGATTGCTGGCCTCCAGATTTATGAGAGAATACACTTCTGTTGTTTTAAACCACCAGGTTTGTCATAATGTGGACAAAGAAATGTGTAGCCAGAGGAAACTCATGCAGGAAGTTTTGAGGAAACCCAAAAGTTTTCACAGCTCTGTTTTCTTGCTCAAGATTGAATTACTTCTCCTTTATGTAATACAAGTAACTTTAACCAATAAAATTTTCAGCATTAAAATTTTGATTTCCAAACATTCATCATTAACAGTCAACAACAGGAAAAGAACAAATGAAAAGTAGGTTTATGACCGTGTTTTCTGCCATTGTCAACAAAGGGGAGAATGTATTTGTTGAAAACTTAAACAGTCTCCTATTACTGAAGCTCCACGAGGTGACAAATTTTGGTTTCCTTTTTGTATGTTTAGACAGGACAGAAGAAATTAACTCACATATTGTATCAGGCAGGGTTGGTGAGGAAAATAGACAACAGTTATTTTAACAGATAATTTAAGGATATAAATAATCAGGTATTGGAGAAAAAGGGAAACATTAAGGCAATGCAGAGATGGTACCTGAAGGAAGCAGCTGTGCCCTCCAGGGCTCAGGAACAAAGGGGACAGGTTGAGGTTATTAGAATTGAGAAGTTCAGAGTGGGAATCCTGTGGCTATGGTCCTGTTATCTCTGAGATGATAAAAGATGATTGGTTCCTGGAGCATGGAAAAAATGGAAACTGGAATCAACTATTACTGAAGTCAACTGCTGCTGCTGAGTTGAAGTAACTGTGCTGAATGATGCTTGCAGAACAGTGAGCAAACAGAAGAGCAAGTCTCCTCTCTCTCCTCCAGCCCCTGGTCTCCCTCTAGCACCTCTTGGTGGCCCCATCTAAGAAACTCAGCTGGCAGAGGTGAAATAGAGTTTGCAGAGTTCCAGCCCCAGCAGCGCAAAGTTGAGCGTAGATGAGTGGGTTTGAAGCTGAGAGTCCATAGCTTAATAACAATCTCAGACATGGAAGCGGTACATATGAAAGAAACTGATGAGGTAACCTGAAGCCATTTTTACTATAAAGAACGCAGTCCTGTTTTATTTCCTAAGTTCAGAAGTGTCATTGAATTCACCTGGAGCAAGTAAAAGCAGACTGCTCAGGAATGGATGTTGCTTATCTAGAGGAGAGTGGACTGTCACTCTAAGTGCTCATGTGACTCAGTCGCCAGCTCTCCTTGGACCTTTGTGACCTGTTGGTGTGGGATGAAGGTAGATAGAGGGATGACATACAGTTGTAAGGATGTGGTGGTGACTGCATTAAAGGGCTGCTTTTGCATGGAAGGAATAAGCAGCTAAGCATAGTCTTGGGAATCACATAGGACTGCTGCCAAGAACCCCACTTAGTCATAAAAATGGATGCAATTTGAAAAAATGCTTCTGGCAAGCTATTTTGCTGGAATCAGAGGGTGGTTAAATATTTTTCAATTATGTTTTATCTTGAATGGGGTCTTCTTTTAGTAAAAAGTTTGCTGCCGACACATCTGAGGATAAGCGTTTTCCTGCCCACCCATGCTTCCCCTTTACTGTGTACAAGGGACTAGAATGCTCTGAGTCCTCAGCACATAGCTTCCGAACATCCTTTCTGTGTTGATTGGGTTTCTTGACCTGGACCATTTGTCTCTTGTCCTAAGTACTTTTAATTAGGAAGGTGTGACTTTTGTGTAACCTCTGTCTCTTTTGGGATCTTTTAAGGTGCCTGGGGAGCCTGCATTTTCATTATCTGCTGGATGTCCTGGGAGGTATGGATCTATGACTATATGTTACTTAGTCTTAGCATCATTTTCTTCAACATTGCTCTCTGTCATCACTCAGTGGCTATTCAGGACCACCTCCCCTTATAATTTGTCCTTTCTGCCACGATTTTAGCTCCCTCTCTCTTTTCACATTCACTCCTACTGGATGAGAGGACAGGGATATCCCTTTCAGCTCTTTGCCCCATTCACATATACTAGGGGACAGGTAGTATAATGTAGCCATTAAGCATTTGGGTTTGAGATACAGTGCCAGATACATTAGTAGTTACTTGTTGACCTTCAGTTTCCTCATTTTCAAAGAGAGATAATGGTAGTTCCTACCTCATGGAGTTTTGTATTAAATAAAATTAAAATATATACAAAGGACTAGAACAGTGTCAGGTACATAACAAGTGGTGAATAAGTGTTAGCATTATTGTTAAATTCCAACTCTGTAGTAAGATTCATGGATTATCTTTTCTATTTGATTTGGATTCAAATTTACCTTTTAAGGGTGCCTGAAGATGAAAACAACCACACTGTGTTCCTTCCTGTAACAAAGGGCTTAAAAGAAAGAGATACTTCTATCATATAAAATCACACCTGGCTATGATTGAGTAGGAAGCATCCTACAGTAGACAGAACTGCTGCTGTGGCTGCTCACTTGATTCTGCTTGGGATTTTCCTTTGAAGACACAGGAGAAAGCTCCCTCTGTCTGTGAATTCATGCTGGGCTCCAGCTGCCAACTTCCAGAGGCAAGACCCATCCAGAGAGGTAGATGTTGGGCTTCTGTTTCAGATAGCATGTAGGTTGCCACTTAAAGTTCCCCAGAGGGCAGTATCTAGGGCCATTTATATAAATCCCAAGCTTTAATTCAGAGAGACAGTTCTGGCTGTTTCTGGCTATGGTAGGTCCACAGAGAGTCTCGGATTGGGGAGAGCTTACTGAAACATATGGCTAATATTAGTTTTGGGTTTTGGGGGGAAGGAAAGAAGAGAAGTAGCACTGGGTGGATATGAACCAAAGTTAACCTTCTCCATTGGTCAAGAGACATTAAGGGCAAGAATTATTTAATTGGTTAAGGAACAGTTAAGCATAGTTAAGCTGATCCTGGCAGAACAGTTTAAGATGGCCTAAGGAAGGTCTTGAGGCTTTCTTGATTTTACCTAGTAGACAACCAGTCTTACCTTCCTAGCTGAGGGCACAGATTGATTTTCCTTGGTAAAGGGAGCATCCCTATTTAGTGCGGCCAAAAGGAAAAGTGTCAGTGTGACAATATTTGTTAAAGTATAAGTGTTTGTAGTCTACACATAGCCACCACACCTCTTCTAGCCCAGTAAAGAGAAATAGGGAATTTATTTGGTCTTTCTTGGCTCACCTTTTCTGACTCCTCCATCATGTGAGAATCTGATCTTGCCAAAAACAAACAAACAAACAAACAAAAAACAGAAAACAGAAGTCAAGCAAGGTGGGGCACCTAGAAAGGTGGAGAGTTGAGAGAGTGAGGCTCAGCATCAGCTGTGGCAAAGACAAGAGTTGGAGAGGAGAGAAAAGAGGGATTTAAGATGTGCTGTGTATTATGAATTAAGGTCCCTTTGATGTTCTTAGAGAGACAGTGGTAAAGACTGGAATTATTTAATAGTCCATTAAGCAGTCAGTGGTGAGGGGACTGCTATCTTTGGAAAACTGCCATACCTTCTATTTTCATCTTAAGTACACATTTCCTCAGTGATATGTGCTGTGTATATAAGTCCATCTATGGAAACTTTTGGTTAGTGATTTATGTTGGGTGGGGCATTGTTCTTGACAGAGGATATCTCTATCTACATATATAAATTTATGTCTATCTCATTAACAAAGATAAATTTATTAGAAATGTAAGTTTTTCAGAAATTCATGTGGGGGGTACCAGAGGCCCCCACATGAATACCCTCCTCATTTTGCTTAGAGTTTGCCACCCTTCTCTGAGTCACTATGACTACCCCTTCTCCATACTTCCAGCACAGATGCCTACCTAGATGTCCCACCTAATGATTTTAATATTTCAATTCTCAGGAAAGGAGTGGAATGGAAGGGAAGGAAAAAGAATAACAATAAAAGGAGGAAGAAAAACAGAGTCATAAATTTTTTCATGTGTATTTGCTGAGGGTGTTTTTTTTATTTATTATACTTTAACTTCTGGGGTACATGTGCAGAATGTGCAGGTTTGTTACATAGGTATACACACGCCATGGTGGTTTGCTGCACCCATCAACCCTCGTCATCTACATTAGGTATTTCTCCTAATGCTATCCCTCCCCTAGACCCCCACCCCTGACAGGCCCCAGTGTGTAATGTTCGCCTCCCTGTGTCCATGTGTTCTCATTGTTCAACTCCCACTTATGAGTGAGAACATGCGGCGTTTGGTTTTCTGTTCTTGTGATACTTTGCTGAGAATGATGGTTTCCAGAATCATCCATGTCCCTGCAAAGGACATGAACTCATCCTTTTTTATGGCTGCATAGTATTCCGTGGTGTATATGTGCCACATTTTCTTTATCCAGTCTATCATTGATGAGCATTTGGGTTGGTTCAAAGTCTTTGCTATTGTGAACAGTGCTGCTTTTACATTGTTGGTGGGAGTGTAAATTAGTTCAACCATTGTGGAAGACAGTGTGGCGATTCCTTAAGGATCCAGAACTAGAAATACCATTTCACTGAGCAATTCCATTATTGGGTATATACCCAAAGGATTATAAATCATTGTACTATAATGACACAGGCACACATATGTTTATTACTTTTTTTTGTTTTCTTCTTTCAAAAACTGTAAAAGATTGAGACTGGGGATGGGAATGGAGAGACAGAAGAGAACTCAGACTGGAATGGAAGAAGTGGAGGGACAGAAAGTAATAAAGACCATCACTGTAGAGAGCAGGGACAATAATAAAAAAGACCCATTGCCAAATCTTCATCAATGTGGACCACATGCATCTATATTTAATCTCTGGGCAAATTCCTCTGAACAGAGGGCAGAGGACTTGAACACGTTGTCTGGAGATAGGGGGTTAAAGTGAAGTGCCTTCATCTCTTTACCTAGGTAGAATTGAACAAACTATTGCTTCTACATAGAAAACCCCACCATCTCTGTCATTATCTCATGCCTCTGCCTCAGATTCATTGCCATATTGTAATAATCAACCCTGTGCAATCACCCTTAACTTCCTTGACCATCTTCTTTTCATTTATACACTTGGCAAAAAAACAACCCTGGCTGAACCCAATTACGCACCCAACTCATTCTGCATTCAAGTGTAAAGATGGCTTAAGAAAACACACAAGTATGATGGTCTCATTTTAAATTCATGATCTGAAATGGGTACTCAGTGCTGCCCAGTAATTCCTTCACACTTCCCTGTATATTTGCTCTGTACTTCTTTCCTTTCTCATTTGATACTGATGCACTTGTCTTTGATACTTCAATAAAAACTAGGATTTCATTCAACTTGAGACCCAGGCTGAAACCAGTGTTTTAACAGTGACACAAACTCTTCTTGTGTTTGAAGGACAAGACAAGCACAGTACAAGTTGAAGTTCCTAGATGATACTGCTTGTTTGTAAATTTATTGAGGGAAAGGGCCAAGATGCTCTTGGGCATTTATTATATACTCCTTAAATGCCTATTAGTTGACTAAAAATTTTAGTCTTTCATGTTTGGCCAAATTCATGATTCCCTCTCAGCTTCATCTTTTAGCTGTAAATTATGTGTGGAATCCATTAGGTAAGAATTAGGGTAGCTTTTATGTGACCTTGTCATTATTATTTCCTATCAAGCTTTAACTTCTCTTCCTTTTGAATTCCGCCTTATCCCTGAGGTTGTGGCTGGGACACATAATTCTCCTCACTGTGAAACATTATTGTTAATGGGATTTATAAAATTGTATTTGAGCTCCAGTTTATAGAGAAGAAAGAACTGAGGGCTGGAAGTGCCAGACTTTTGAATGGGCCTTAATTATTATTCTGCTGTTTAGTGTTTGGAGCAAATGATATGCTTTGTAGAGAATCATCATCTCATTCTGGATTAAATGATCTGCTATAAAGTGCATCTGTGCTCCATTCCTGGGCCAGGTATGGTTTTTCTAATAGAGAAAGACTAAAGTTAAATGTTGATAAAATGACATTTAGTTCTTCTTTCTTGTTTTTAATTGTTAGGTTACCAAGTATAGAGGAGTCTTGCCCTTTACTCGTCTAACTTTTTTAATAGCAATTGTAGGTAAATTTTACTTACAACTACTAATTTCCAGTTCTGCTCAGAGTGGCTGGTATCTGATAATGTATATGCCAACTGTTTTTTTAAAAGAAAGATACTTAAAGTACTGAAGCTCTAAGCAGTAAAACAAAGTATAAAAGGAAAAGCTGAATCATGCCACTGGTCAACACTCTTGAATTTTCTTCACCAAAGAAACTACTTGAGGTGTGGGGGTTCATCCAGTGTGTCTGGAATTAGCCTGAGGTGTCCTGCTGAAATAAGAAATGTTCCCGTGCTGCACTGGCTCCTGGACAAGGCATGGAGCATGCTGTTGAAGATAGTTACTTTGTAAATGTGGTCCACAGAGTTTTTCAGTGGTGAGTATCAACTTGTCAGCACTGTTGATAACAGTGAGACTAACAATTGGCACCTAGTCTCAGTGAGACCCCCGGAGGCCTCTGCTATTGATGCTGATTATATAGTAGGACTATGCCTATGTGAATAGCAAAGGAAAAAAGAAAAAAACCTCATTGGAGACTCCATTTTATGCTCTCTGGTTCCAGTCAGGAACCACGCATTGGTGGTTCCTGATGCAAGAGAGACAGCCTTCGTCTGACATGCATAGTCTTTCTTACTGTCATTGTTATGTTATATCCTTTTCCTGCAAAATACACCCTGTAAACTTGTAAGCATTGTCATTGTGGGTTCTGTGAGTTTTCCTGAGCCATCAAACCTTGTTTAACAGCCACTATTAGAGCGCTACTATTGGCAGTTTCTTTTGTATCCTTCCACAATGTATTATCTGTATACAATTTTTAAAATTTCACAAAGTAAAATTATACCATTCATAATGTTTGACTTTTTTGCTTTTTAAAAAATGATGTATTACTTTAAATTTTAAACCAAGTTAAATGAAACAACAAAAATGCAAATATCTTTGGGGTATATTAAAAAATCTTACAATTCTGTGTAAAAATATTTTTACAAGAGTTTCAAAATTTAAAACAAAGCAGTTAAATATTGTTTGTGGCAATTTTGTGGGAGCCTCTAATGAAAAAGTGCACCCAGAATATTTTAAATATTCTCATTTAAATGTTTGAAAGAATTTCTTCTAACTCAAAGCCAGATGTTAATGTTTATGAAATGAGAATTGCTTAAGTGTTTTGCTAACTGGGGTCTCTTGACCTAGAGGAAAGTAATAATCAGAGATATGTGTAGAATTTATGTGAACCTACATGACAGTCATATTAGGGCCCTTTGAGTCTTTTGTGTAGTAGTCAATGTAATTCTTGCACCTTTCTCCCCGTTTTTCCTTCATGTTTATAATTCTTAGACTTTTCTTTCAAAAGTAATGTATTCTGATATTCTCCCAGATTATATTTGACTTCATCATTTAAGGCTTTGCTTTGGTGAGGACCTGAGCACTTGCCCATTTGTTCTGTTTTTAGCAGACTTCATATATGGCTGTGTAGTTGGCTCCATTCTCACGACTCTCGATTAGGTTAAATACCTTTAAATGATTGTTTTCTTTGTCAAGAGCCATGGGCATTAGTCTCTTGGCAATTGAGGCCAAGAGTAAAGTAGGGACAATCCTAGCCTTGAAGGAACCTGAAGGATTTGGGCAGAACAATGGACAAATTGTAGATCAGGAAACTGAAAACCTTTTTTCCAGGGGATTTAATAGACATGTTCTAGCCTCCATTAATTATGGTGGTGTGCTGGTGGAATATCTAGTTAAGATCTCTTAATTATTTCAATGCATTCGTAATTCACAGTAAAAAGATATTAAATCTGCTAATATTTTCAAGTCTTTTGCATAGTGTTACTTTGAACTTAACAAACATGGGATTTTCTAATGAATAGCTTTTCAGAATCTAATGTGTGGAGTGTATAGGAACATGAAGGAGGGGTGTGTGTGTGTGTATTCTCTGATAATGTGTCTTCTGGTTCACATACCTGCTATTGTCAATGAAAGCAGTTCCTACCAGTTTTTCCCATCAGTCTTTTATTTTTATAATTTTCCACAGGATTAGCTCTTGGGTTTTGATGTTGGAATGTATTCATGGCTTAGTTGTCTTTCTAAAGAACTTCTGTCCTATGGATCAAGGAGATGGTCTCTTCTTATATGTATAATATCTCTTACCTTTAACAATCCTTTAAAAATGCATCTCTGATATATCATCTGGGCGACTTAATAGTGTCTATTGTACTGCCATATGCATGAACTTCATTCACGAAAAGAGCTAGTCTGACAAAGCATGAAGTCAAGACCCCCTAAAGTGCTTCACAATACAGTTAGAAATTGAAAGGTCAGTGAAGGTCTTAGGGCAAGTTTGGGAGTCATTTGGCATTCATCAATATGATACAGTGGGGAATATCAAAGACTATCCGATGGAACAAAATGATGGTTTTGTTCTGTTGAGTTCTTGTTCAACTATAACTGCACTGAACTTCCACTAGAACATGTAGCATCACAGTTACCTCTTTCACTCTGCTCAGCAGACAGTTCGTGAAATATAAGTGAGGGGAGGTTTTGTTCACTTCTTTAGCTAATGTCACTCCAAGTTCTTCAAGGAAGAAGAAACTGCTGAGAAACAGAAGAGCTGAAAACAGAAAGGAAATGAAGATCATGCATACTTAGGCAACTAAAAAATGCCCAAACCATTCAGTAAAATCATGCTTTTACTTTAGGTCAAGAGACCTCAGTTTGAGAAAAAATTTAAGCAATTCTTATTCTATAAACATTAACATCTGGCTTTGAGTTAGGAGAAACTCTTCAAAAAATTTAAATGAGAATATCTAAAATCAGGAGAACTCTTAAAGGATATGAAAAATTGACAGAGAATAAATCAGCTTTATGTTCATCCATCTGTGTGGTAACAGATTGCATAAGGGTAAGACAAATAGGAAAGTCATAATTTAGAAATTTATTAAGACATCTTAGTGTAGTACATTCATGTTTAATGTTTGCCTTTTCCTCTATCACAGTACAGCGTAAGTAAAGACTGATAGAGACTGGATCCCTGATTTGAAGCATATGACGTAAAATTTAAGTATCCTCAGGGAACATCCCCACCTCCCCCATATCCACATACATTTAGCATTTAGCTGTGTTCACCAATATCAAGGATACTAAACCAAAACAGAAAACAACTCAGAAACAGTACGAAACATTTCATTTGTGAATGACTGATATTTAAGGTCTCCTGTTTTCCAATTGGTGTTATTAGAGTAATAGAAATTAACACTGTCATTGCCTATCATATGTCAGGCACTATGCTTCATATTTAACTTACTTTTTTCTTATTTAATCTTTTTAATGGCCCTATAAATCAGTTATTGTTATCCTTATTTTACCCTGATGGGAAAACTGACATACAAGAATCTCATTGTATGTTACCAAAAGCACTAAATTCTACCACACTACTTTACCCTCATCCATCTCTTCCTTTTTAACAAATGACGACTTACTTTGATCACATAACAAGACGTTCAAGGCAGGCAATTGCTGATATTAGTTCAGCAGTGGAATAAGTCAGGGCTCATTTCTTTGCAGATCTCTTGGCCTTTTTTTCATGGTCGCAACATGGCCATTGCAGCTCTAGCTACAGCTTCCTGAATCCAAGGGAGAAAGAAAAGGAGAAGGAAAGAGAACATTTTCCTCATGAATACCTCTAATAGATTTCTGTTTAATTAAAATCTTTTTAAAATAATGAAGTAGAGCAATATTGAATGGTACACAAAAATGAATGTACATTTCAATGACTATCACAAAATTAACACCCACGTCAAGAAAAATAACATGTTGGCATTCCAGAAACTCCTTATTTGCCTTGTTCTAATCACAACTTTTGCTAGATATTGCTGGATAATTATCTAGTTATTCTCTAAAGTGGTGGTTCTAATGTACTTTTTCTATAGCACTTGTTTTAGGACAACCCTGCCAAGATATGTATTATCAAAATTTTGTTTTTGCCATTCTGGTGAATATGGAATGTTATATGTATGTTATCTCACTGATTACCAGCACTGTTGAGCATCTTTTCATGTAGCTTATATGCCATGTGTGTTCTTCTCTGTAAATCGCCTCTTCTTAACCTTTGCCTATTTTTATATTTAAAAAAACTTATTGCTTTATAACTATTCTTTTTATATCATGGATACCAAGCTTTTACACATTGCAAATACTAAGGATATGGCTTATCATTAAACTTTATGGTGTGTAATGACTGGTGAACATACTTAATTTTGATAAGAGTCAAATTTATCGCCTTCATTTATTGTATTGTTCTTTGGTTGGCTTATTTAAGAAAATGATATTATTCTCATATCGTACAGAAATCTTTTCCTAGCACCTTATCATAATTTTTTTCACAACGTGCTAGACATTTTAAAAACTGTAATTAGGTATTTACCCATTTGGAATTTACTTTGTTTATGATTTTAGAATTTTAAAGTATCTATTTGGAGTTTATCCTGATTTTTATAGTAATCTTTTTTTGTTGCTTTTCGGTTTTATCACCCAACTGCATATCCTTAATGCTATAGATGAGTCTTGTCTGTTCTTAATAAAAAAAAAATACATTTTCTTTTAATCTAAAAGTTTCGCTTCCATTTTTTTTTTCTTTTCACTTTTTATGTTAAATAATCAGGAGTGTTGAACCTACAGAGTTTCTCACAGACTGGATTTTTAAAGTTGTAAACTCATGTAAGTGCTCAACATGTTTTTTCTGTCCTCTGAATTTCCCACAAATTCGTGGCTGGTTCTAAAGGCTGGATCAGACTTACGTTTGATTGTTTTGGCACAACTGCATGTAGTGTATCCTGTTCTTTCATCAGGAGGCACATAACGATGTCTGGTTCTGTTTTTAGAAATACAGTATAAACAGCTCAAAGCTTAGACATATTAATTTATTGGTGTGTGAAAAATGATGACATTTTATTTTGTCTTTTTTATTTGTAGTTGAAATACTCTTAGGATGTTTACCCTCATCTACTATTTAGTTACCCAGTTTTATAGTCAGATAGGATAGATAGGATCTGTTTTGATTCTTTCCTTTTATTTTGTCTTCAAGATAACAAATAGATTTTCTGTTATTTTTCAAAGATAATTAATTTTATATTTTAATATGATAATCTCATATTTAGGCATATTTGACAGATTTAAATTCATTTCAGTTTTAGTCTTTTTAAAGACTAATTGTCTCATTTTGGCCAGTAGAAATTTCTTAACATGAGCTTCTGACTGCCTTAACATGACCCTCTGACTGCCTTAACATGACCCTATTAGTGTCTGGTAGCTTTTTTACTATTTGGTATGATAAAAGTCTTAGATATATACCTTTTACATTTGTTATCTAAGAATCCCTGAATTCATTTAGTGGAAAATGGTATTTCAAGCTCACAATCTAGGCTTAAGGGATGACTTTTGCTCTTAGATTGGTCATTGTTTTCAGGCCTCCTTGGTAGATAGAACTAAGAGTATATTCATAGATAATATTTTAAAGATGAAATACTTATGAGTTCTTACTGACACTTCCAAATTAAAATCAGAATGATAGGATTATTTATTGGCTGGCTTCGGTATTACACCTGTATCTACTCTCTTCTACACTGAGAATCCTGGCTCTTCAGGACCTATGGAAGATAATATGATACAAATTTTCCATCATTACTCATTTACTTTAATCCACAACACTCATACAGCAGTCTTAAAATAGCAATGCTAATGCTACCAATATGATTGCTACTAATTTAAAAATATGCCTCTCTGTTCCTTCTCCACATTTTCTTCAACCAAAAGTCATTATTTTCTTTATAGTTGCAAGTATAAACAGAAACTGACATGACAAAATCAGATCAGTGAAGCTTAATCTATAGGCCCCTGCATGGACCCCTTTCAAAACTCTGAGAGAGCCCTAACAATGTCTTTGTATAATGATACACCTTTGGTAAAATTTGTAATAAAGATATTGTACTTGCAAAGAGACATCTCTTTCTTCTTCAACTTGCTCTGTGCCATATATACATATGTATACACACATATATAAAATCTGTGAATACACAGTAGTTATATGTATTTGCATGGTACATGAAATATTTTGATACAGGCATGGAATGTGAAACAAGCACATCATGTAGAATATGGTATCCATCCCCTCAAGCATTTATCCTTTGTGTTATCAACAATCCAGTTGCACTCTTTTAGTTATTCAAAAATGTACAGTTCAGCTATTATTGACTATAGTAAACCTTGAAGTGAGATCACATAGCATGTCATTCATTCTTTCTGAACATTTTTTTAACCTGTTAACCATCCCCACCTCCCCTGCAGCCCCCCACTGCCCCTCCCAACCTCTGGTAACCATCCTTCTACTCTCTATGTCCATGAGTTCAATTGTTTGATTTTTAGATCCCACAAATAAGTGATACATGCGATGTTGTCTTTCTGTGACTGGGTTATTTCACATAACATAATGATCTCCGGTTCCAACCATGTTGTTGCAAATGAATGGATCTCATTCTTTTTTGTGGCTGAATAGTACTCCATCATGTTTATGTACCCACATTTTCTCTATTCATTAAGCTGTTGATGGACACTTAGGTTGCTTCCAAATCTTAGCTATTGTGAACAGTGCTACAACAAACATGGGAGTGCAGATATCTCTTCAATATACTGATTTCCTTTCTTTCAGGTATATACCCAGTAGTGAAATTGCTAGATCATATGGTAGCTCGATTTTTAGGGTTTTTTTGAGGAATCTCCAAATGTTATCCATAATGGTTGTACTGATTTAACATCCTCACCAAGAGTGTACAAAGGTTTCCTTTTCTCTACATCTTTGCCAGCACTTGTTATTGCCTGTCTTTTGGATGTAAGCCATTTTAACTAGGGTGAGATGATTGTAGTTTTGATTTGCATTTTTCTGATGACCAATAATATTGAGTACCTTTTTATGTCTGTTTTGCATTTTTAAGCCTTCTTTTGAGAAATGTCTGTTCAGATCTTTTGCCCATTTTTTGATCAGATTATTAGATTGTTTTCATGTAGAGTTGTTTGAGTTCTTTACACATTCTTGTCAGATGGATAATTCGAAGATATTTTCTCCCATTCTGTGGGTTGTCTCTTCACTTTCATGATTGTATTCTCTGCTGTGCAGAAGCTTTTTAACTTGATGTAATCCCATTTCTCCAATTTTGTTTTGGTTGCCTGTGCTTGTGGGGGTATTGCTCAGATTTTTGCCCAGACCAATGTCCTGGAGATTTTCCAAAATTTTTTATTGTAGTAGTTTCATAGTTTGAGGTATTAGATTTAAGTCTTTTTTATTTGATTTTGGTATATGGCAAGAGATAGGGGTCTAGTTTCATTCTTCTACATATAGATATCCAGTTTTCCCAGCATCATTTATTGAAGAGACTGTCTTTTTTGCTTTTGGTAACTTTGTCAAAAATGAATTCACTGTAGGTGTGTGAATTTATTTCTGGGTTCTCTATTCTATTCCATTGGTTTATGTGTCTGTTTTTATACCAGTATCATGCCACTTTGGTTACTATAGCTCTATAGTATAATTTGAAGTCAGGTAATGTGATTCCTCCTGTTTTGTTCTTTTTGTTCAGAATGCTTTGGGTATTCTGGGTCTTTTATGTTTCCATATAAATTTTAGAATTGTATTTTGTATTTCTGTGGAGAATTTTATTGTTATTTTGATAGGGATTACATTGAATTTGTAGATTGCTTTGGGTAGTATGGGCAATTTAACAATATTAATTATTCCAATCCATAAACATGGAATATTTTTCTTTTTTGATGTTTTCTTCAATTTTGTTTATCAGTGTTTTATAATTTTTATTGTAGAGATTTTTCACTTTTTTGATTAAATCAAGTCCTATGTATACAATTTTATTTGTGGCTATTGTAAATGGGATTACTTTTTAAATCTCGTTTTCAGATTGCTCACTCTTGGCATATAGAAATGCTACTGATTTTCATATGTTGATTTTATATTTTACAACTTTATTGAATTTGTTTATCAGTACTAAATTTTTTTTGTGTGTGGAGTCTAGGTTTTTCCAAATATAACATCATGTTATCTGCAAACAAGGATAATTTGACTTCTTCCATTCCAATTTCAATGTCCTTTATTTCTTTCTTGTCCGATTGCTCTAGCTAAGACTTCCAGTACTATGTTGAATAACAGTGGTGAAAGTAGGCATCCTTGTCATGTTCCAGATCTTAGGGGAAAGGCTTTCAGTTTTTCCCTATTCAGTATTACACTAGCTGTGGGTCTATTGTATATGGCTTTTATTACGTTATATTCCTTCTATACCTAGTTTTTTTAGATTTTTTTTTATCATGAAAAGGTGTCAAGTTATATCAAATGCTTTTTCAGCATCAGTTGAAATGATCATATAGTTTTTTCATTCTGTTGATATGAGTATCACATTGATTAATTTGTGTATGTTGAACCATCCTTGCATCCCAGGGATAAATATGACTTGGTCACAATCAATGATCTTTTAATGTACTGTTGAATTTGCTTTGCTAGTATTTTGTTCAAGATTTTTTCATCAATATTCATCAGAGATATTGGTCTGTATTTTTCTTCTTTTGACGTGTCTTTGTCTGGTTTTGTATCAGGGTAGTACTGGCCTCACAGAATGAATATTCTGTTCTCTATTTTTTGTAATAGTTTCAGTAGGATTGGTATCAGTTCCTCTTTAAAATGTTAGGTAGAATTCAGCAGTGAAACCATTGGATCCTGGGCTTTTCTTTTCCTTTTATTATGACTTCAATCTTAGGTTTTAGATTTTTTTTGGTTCAATCTTGGGAGGTTGTATGTCTCTATGAATTTGTTCATTTCTTCTAAGTTTTCAATTTATTGGCATACGAATTTCTGCAGTATCAGTTGTAATGTCTCCCTTTTAATTTCTGATTTTATTGATTTCCGTCTTCTCTCTTTTTTTTCTTAGTCTGGCTTAAATGTTTGTCAAATTTGTTTACCTTTTCAAAAAAACAACTTTTTTGTTTCATTGATCTTTTGTATTGTTTTCTTCATTTAAAATTCATTTATTTCTGCTGTTATCTTTATTATTTTATTCTACAAGTTTTGGGTTTGGTTTGCTCTTGCTTTTCTAGTCCTTTAAGAGGCATCATTAGATTGTTTATTTTAAGTTTTTATTCTTTTTTGATGTAGACAATTACAGATATAAACTTTTAGTATTGTTTTTGCTGTATCCCATAGGTTTTGGCATGTTGTGTTTCCATTATCATTTGTTTCAAAAATTTTTCAATTTCCCTCTTAATTTCTCTCAACTCACTGGTTATTCAAGAGCATATTGTTTAATTCCTTGTATTTGTACAGTTTTCAAAATTTCTCCTGTTATTAATTTTTAGTTTATTCCACTGTGGACAGAGAAAATGCTTGATATTATTTTAGATTTTTTGAGTGTTTTAGGACTTGTTTTTTGACCTAATATATGATCTATCCTTGAGAATAATTCATGTGCTGAGGAAAAGAATGTAGATTCTGCAGCTTTTGGCTAAAATATTCTGTAAATACTTATTAGATCCATTTGGCCTATAGTATAGATTAAGTCCAATGTTTCTTGATTAGCTTTCTGTCTGGAAGATGTGTCCAATGCTGAAAGTGAGGTGTTAAAGTCTCCAGCTATTACTGTATTGGGGCCTATCTCTCTCTTTAGCTCTAATAATATTTTCTTTATATATCTGGGCACTCCAGTGTTGGGTGCATATATATTTAAAATTGTTATATCCTCTTTCTGAATTGACCCCTTTATCACGATATAGTGACCTTCTTTATCTTTTTTTATAGTTTTTGTCTTGAAATCTATTTTGTCTAATATAAGTAAAGCCACCCCTGCTGTTTTTTGGTTTCCATTGGCATGGAATATATTTTTCCAACTCTTTATTTTCAGTCTACGTGTATCTTTATAGGTGAACTTTGTTTCTTGTGGGAAACACATCACTGGGTCTTGTTTTTTTCATCCATTCAGCCAGTCTAGGTCTTTTGACTGGCCAGTTTAGTCCATTTACATTCTATGTTGTTATTGATAAGTAAGGACTTACTCCTGCCATTTTGTTATTTGTTTTCTGGTTTATTTATAGTCTTCTCTTTCCTTTTTGTCTTCCTTTAGTAAACACAGTTTTCTCTGGTGATATGTTAGTTTCTTGCTTTTTATTTTTCATGTACCTATTTTATGTTTTTTGATTTGAGGTTACCATGAGGCTTGGTTATTTTGTAACCCATTATTTTAACCTAATAAAAACTTAACACTGTTTGCATAAACAAACAAGCTGAAAGAAAACTAATAAAGACTCTATGCCTTAACTTCATCCCCCCACTTTTATACTTTTTGTTGTTTCTATTTATATCTTATTCTACTGTTCATGTCTTAAAGTTATTGTAGTTATTTTTTGTTCATTGTTTAGCCTTTCTACTTAGCATAAAAATAGTTTACACACCACAGTTACACTGTTATAATAGTCTGTGTTTTTCTGTACGCTTACTATTAGCAGTGAGTTTTGTACCTTCAGGTGATTATTTATTGCTCATTAATGGCCTTTTCTTTCTTATCGAAGTACTCCCTTTAGCATTTCTTGTAGGACTGGTCAGATGTTGATGAAATTCCTCAGCTTTTGTTTGCCTGGTAACGTCTTTATTTCTCTGTCAGGTTTGGAGGATATCTTCACTGGAGATATATTCTAGAATAAAAAATCTTTTTCCATCAGTTTTTTATATATGCCATGCCACTCTCTCCTGGTCTGTAAACTTTCACTGAGAAGTCTGCTGCCAGATATTTTGGAGTTCCAGTGTAAGTTATTTGTTTCTTTTCTCTTGCTGCTTTTAGAATCCTTTCTTTCTTCTTGATCTGTGGCAGTTTGATTATTAAATGCCTTGAGGTATCTTCCTTGGGTTAAATTTGTGTCTATAACACAAATTTTTGTGTTATAGAAGCTTTTGTATTATAGAAGCTTTGTGTTCTATAAGCTTCTTGCATTTGGATACTAATATCTTTTTCTAGTTTTGGGAAATTCTCTGATATTATCCCTTTGAACAAACTTTCTACCCGTATATTTCTCTACCTCCTCTTTAATGCCAATAGCTCTTAGATTTGCTTTTTTGAGGCTGTTTTCAAAATTCTGTAGACGTGCTTTATTGTTTTTTATTCTTTTTTTGTCTCTTCTGACTGTATTTTCAGATAGTCTGTCTTCAAGCTCACTAATTCTTTCTTCTGCTTGATCAATTCTGCTATTAAAAGACTCCGATGCATTCTTCAGTGTGACAAGTGCATTTTTCAGCTCCAAAATTTTTGCTCGGTTCTTTTAAATTATTTCAGTCTCTTGGTTAAATCTATCTGATCAAATTCTGAATTCCTTTTCTCTGTTAACTTAAATTTCTTTGAGTTTCCTCAACATAGCTATTTTGCATTCTCTGTCTGAAAGGTCAAATATCTCTGTTTCTCCAGGATTGGTCCCTGGTGCCTTGCTTAGTTCATTTGGTGAGGTCATGTTTTCCTGGATGGTGCTTATGCTTGTTGATGTTCCTCAGTATCTGGGTATTGAAGTGTTTAGTATTTATTGTAATGTTCACTATCTGGGCTTGTTTATACCCATCCTTCTTGAGAAGGCTTTGAAGATATTTGAAAGAACTTGGATATTGTGATCTAAGGTGTATTTGCTTTGGAGGGGTACCCAAGGCCAAGTAACACTGTGGTTCTTGCAGATTTGTAGAGGGTACCACCTTGAGGATCTTGAACAAAACCCAGAAGAATTCTCTGGATTACCAGGTGGAGACTCTTCTTCTTTTCCCTTTTTTTTCCCCCAAACAAATGGAGCCCTTGTTTCTGTTCTGAGCCACCTAATGCTGAGGGTGGAGTAACACAGGCACTGCTGTGGCCACCACAACTACGGCTGCACTGGGTCAGACCTGAGACCTGCACAGCACTGGGTCTCATCCAAGGCCTGCTGTAACCATTCCCTGGTCACAACCGCTCACTGATCACAAATCACCATATCATGTATACTAATAATGAAGAAGTTTGAAATATTGTGGAAATTACCAAAATATGACACAGAGGTATGAAGTAAGCACATGCTGTTGGAAAAATGGCACCAATAGGCTTGACACAGGGTCACAAAGAACCTTCAATTTGTAATTTACGTAGTATCTGTGAAGTGCAATAAAGGGAAATGCATTAAGATGAGGTGTGTCTGCATATATATTCAAATATGTATATTCAAATTTCTCCCTATATGTGTCATAAACAAATGTCCCAATTGGAATTAGCTTTGAGTATAACAGAAAATGCTTCCTTTAGAACATTTTTTGCCTTGCTTTCATTGTTCAATCAGATTAGTCTCATGCTTGTGTGAGATAATTAAATACATATATACTGCTGAGTTTATGAAGGGATGTATTATGGTGAATGGTGTGATGTTATTTTATTATGTTCTTGAGCAGAATATTTTCATAGTTCAAAAACTGGAATGTTAAATCTCTGAAATTATGATGGAAGTTAATCAGAAACTTAATTATATAAACATATTCCACTTTACATATCCATCATAGACCTAATTATAGTTTTTAAAGCTTTCCTTCTCTCTGTATCGATGCTGGTTATTCCTAGTTTTATTTGTTCTCTGTTTCTGTCTGCCTTTCCCATTAGAGACTTTCTACAGGTGTTTTCTGAGGGGCTAATGTGCTGACTGCAAGCTCTGTGTACTTGGAAGAGGTAGGAGACTATGAATGCACTGTTGGGTATCTGATTGGCATGTTAGTTGGGGAACTTCTTGAGGTTTCTTTCTCTTGGTCTGGTCAGATTCAGTATAAAGAATCTTTCATTTATCTGTCCATAGAGTATAAGCTTAGCTGCTAGTCTTTTGTGAGATGATTTGGAGAATTGAGCTGGAACTTGCAATATTTGGTATGAAATGTTCCCTTGATTTTATATGGTAATCTCACCTTCCATAGTGCCTGGGGTCCCCTAGTCCCAAGGTCCTTTCTTGAGAATAAACTTCCATTTTTCTAATGGAGGAGGGGAGCGGTGGTTATCTGGTTAAAAGTGTTCTGGGACTTATTAGGTCTTAAAACTGTCAACCACTCCTTCTGCTTTTTTTTTTTTCATCTTCCATTTTTTTGTCCTAATTTTACCTCCACTTTCACTCAGTCTTGAACCTTTTGAGAATTCTGCCATGCAAATTGGGTTACACATGAACTTTACATGCTTATTTAGGATTTGGCTTTCCCTTGTGTGGCTAAATCATTTACCACTGAACCTTCTGCTTTCCAGCTTCTTAAATTTTGCTGGTATAATCTCTTCTTCATTTCCCTTTGTTTTTAATGGTATAATTCTTTAAAGATACCCTGCTGCTATTATTCTCACTTCAGAGGTAGTGGAACTGAATGCGTGCTCAATGAGCCATGTTTACTCTCATATTTCTCCTTTACTTTCTTCAAGGTATATGGTATATGCCCTCATAATTCTGTGAGGTAGACAGGGGGGTATCCTTAACATTTAACAGGTGAGAAAATGGAAGAATACAAGATCCAAGAGAATTGTCCAGGATCATTGGGCTTGACAGTGATAAAGCTGAATAACAATGAAAGATTGTGGGCCTTCTTTTTTTTTTTTTTAAACTTAAAGGTCAGTGTAATAGTAGGATTGTAGACTTTTAGAGGGATTGATTTTCCTCTTTTCCGTAGTGTATTAGTCGAGGTTCTCCAGATAAACAAAACCAATAGGATATTTATCTATTTGTCTATATTCCTAAAGGATATATTATAGGGAACTGGCTCACATCATCATGGAGGCTAGTAAGTCCAAAATCTGTAGAGCCAATGTCCCTGTTCAAGTCTAAAGGCTGCTGTAGAACCAGGAAGAGTTGATATCCTCATTTAAAAGCCATCATGCAGGAACGTTCTCTTTTTCCGAGGGAAGAGTCATCCTTCATCTATTTGGGTCTTCCACTGATTTGATGAGATCCACCCACATCATGAAGGGAAATCTGCTTTACTCAGTCTACCAACTTAAATGTGAATCTCATTAAAAAACACCATCAAAGAAGCACCCAGAATTTTTGACCAAATATCTGGGCACCCCATGGCCCAGTCAAATTGACACATAAAATTAACCCTCACACAAGCTAATTGCAAAACATTGCTGCTTGGGAATGAACAAACAAATAACCAGATATGACTATCATTCCTTAGTGTTATAGTATTGAAAACAACTGTATCATGTTTCCAAATATCTGTCCATATCCATCTATCATAACAACATGAGATGTTTGTTAAAACTATATACCCCAGAATACCACAAGAGAGCTACTGAATCAGAATTTTATGGGGAGAGCCCACCCACTGTATTTAGGTTATTTTGTCGTGTACATTTCCTAGGTGATCCAGTATGTAGTAAGGTTTGGAACCCACAGAACTAGAATTCACTAAAAAATGTCTCTGAAGGATTTTTGTGAATTTGGACTTGTTTTTCTGTCATTCTCTAATTCTGTTCTGTTATTCTTATTGGAGTTATTTTCTAAATTTGTTGTCAAATGAAATGTAAAAAATGCAGTGTGTGACTAGTTTATCTTCTACAGCTACTTATTAATCTCACAATAGCAATGAGTACTCAATCATAATATTCTTCCCAAGCCCGGTGCGGTGGCTCATGCCTATAATCCCAGTACTTTGGGAGGCCAAGGCTGGTGGATCACCTGAGGTTGGGAGTTCAAAACCAGCCTGACCAACATGGAGAAACCCCGTCTCTACTAAAAATACAAAATTAGCTGTGCATGGTGGCGCATGCCTGTAATCCCAGCTACTTGGGAGGCTGAGGCAGGAAAATCACTTGAATCCTGGAGGTGGAGGTTGCAGTGAGCTGAGATCATACCACCACACTCCAGCCTGGGCAACAGAGCAAAACTCCATCTCAAAAAAAAAAAAAAAAAATCTTCCCCATTAAAATTTGTAAGATAATCCAAAGATTTTGAGTCTCATACAAGTGAGTCAGCATGAGTAATCAAGGAGGCTCATCAGTTAGGGCATATTCAGTTTGCCAAGACCACTATGACTGCCTACCCATAGGAACTTGTAGAATTCTATAAGGAAATAATTTTCAACCATAAATGATCTTAGAATGTTCTTTAGTCTTAATGTTGTAGGAAATACAAAGGATATGAATAAAAATAAGAACAGGTGTGAGATACTGTCAGTAAAAATGGTGGATATTTTAATCAAAATGGTAATCAGAAATTTGTGATGGAGCACATTTCAGTGCTAAGAAGAAAATTCGTACCAGATCAGGGTCAGTTAAAGGGACAAGTGAAATGCTGAATGCTGAGGTGCAGTTTAAAACAAACAAAATCCAGCAACTGATTCAAACTGGAGACCATGTTATGTTTTTATACCTTCTTTTATTTTTTCTCTTTCTTAACACATTAAAAAGTATGATGTGATAGGGGTCAGAGTTGGCTTGAAACTCTTTATTTAATCCAAGAATTGGCAAACCTTTTCTTAAAGGGTTAGATAGTATATTTTAGGCTTGAAAGATATAAATTATTGGTGGCAATTGCTCAACTTTGCTGTCCAGTAAAATCTGCCAATGACAATATAGAAATGAATGAGTATGGCTGTGCTCTGATAACATTTTATTTACAAAAAGAGGCAATTGTCCGTAAGTCATAGTTTGCCAACCCTTGCTTAGAACCTTCTGGATATAAGAATTTTTTTTTAATCTACATGATTTTCTTTTAATCAACTCATTAAATTTTAAATACAAAAATTAAATTTGACTAAAAGAAAATACTTATCCTTTAAGTCAGATAGCAGAGAAAGTAAAAAGTCTGTTTGAATTTTTGATAACCAAGCTTGCCTTAAGTTACCAGCAAATTCTGAGACTGCTACCAACATTACACATTTTGTGATGGCATTTAATGGAGGCAATTGCAGCTAATAATTATGCCTATTTACCTGGCTTTGGGATGATAATGTTATGAATTTCATCTAGAAGAATAAAACATTAAAAGTTAACACCTAATTAATGTTTTCTAATCTTAATAGTTTTATCTTATTCAAATGATTTAAAGGTAAAATAGTTTTAAAGTGTTAAATAAGTTGTATTTTCCATTTCAGAATTTTAACATTGTTTCAGTCAGTTTTAAAATTTTGTGAGAAGAAAATATTGTCAGGAGGAAGCTAATCATCAATTTGCAACAGCTGAAACCAGCACAGCAGGTGGATGAGTGTTTTAATGTATTTCCAGATTAAGCAAGGCAGTATAAAGAAAACATCATGCAAAAATTCAATCTGCTATGGGTTTAAAATAAAGTCTTCATCTGTGTTGCTGCAGAAAGAATAGCTACCTTATGTTTTGTCATATTGTAGTGGATTATCTTTAATGAAGCGTATATACCCCAAAGCATTATTGTGATATTTTGTGTTTGTCTTGGTCTACACTAATTCAATGGTTTGGATTTAGTGAAAAGAAGCATGGATTTTACTCTTAGGAATGTCCTGGCAGGTTTTCTTTCCTGAAGTTGTAAGTGAAAGCAATTCACACACATTTAGAAGGAGACCTTTGTTACTGATTTCAGTGGGCTTTTACAGAAATGATAACGCTGATGTCTTGGTCCCTGAAAATGACAAGAGGTCCTCGCAAAGGAAATTCTTCATGATTTTATTTATTTAAAATCAGATGTAGTGTAGTGTAGTATAATTCAGTTTTAGAAAGATAACCTCTATCTTTCTATCTTCATCAATGTCCCACTATATAGATATTAATATTTGTAGTTATCCATCCATCTATTATCTATTATTATCTCTCATCATCCATCTACCTGCCTATATACCTACTTACCTACCTACATACCTATAGGAAGATATAATCCACAGTGATATCTTGGTAGTATGGCCATGGGTGTTAATTATTTTATTATTAACTTTCACTTAGCTTTATTTCTTGTGTTTCTTTTATGAATGTATATTGTTTTTGTAATAATAACACAATAAAGTCATATTTAATAAAACGAGCATACTATTCATTGTTCTTTTGAAGAGAAAATATCAAACTGTTGATTTATTTAATTACATGGGCATTAGAGAGACTAGTAGTAAAACCAATGCATATCATTAAGGAAAAAGGCTACCATTTCTGTTATTAAATCTTATTTCTTAAAGTTGAGTTCTTTTTTTTTCTTTTCAAGATATTCTTGTCACAGCTTGTTTCTAGTTGTGAACTCACAAAGATTTTATGTGATCCTCAATCACTATCACATTACTGTTACCATGTTATGGTTTCTTCATGCTATTTCTGACACAGAGTAAGTTATAACCAATTTAAGGACATTCAACCATTCTATGTATGTATGTATGTGTCTGTCTATGTATCTAATCATCTATCATCTTCTCTTATTTCCTTCTGTCCTTTCTTACAAAAGCATGTAAATATTTTACGTGCTTTTCTGTACCTTGCTTTTGTCACTTAACAGAAATCAGCTGTGATTCTTCGTTTCATATTTTTTTCTTCTGTCTGCTTTTAAAATTTTTCCATTAATTTAGTTTTTATAAGTTTTACTAATTACCTATTACAGTTTTCTTAATCTTTTCATATAATTTGTACATATTTGGTTATCACTTAAAACATTTCCTCTGTCACAATGTCTCTCTTCTGAGATTCCAACTACATGCCAATTGAAATGTTTAATATTGTCTTACAGATCTCAGGTACTCTAGTTTTTTCACTCTTTTTATCTGTTTTAGATTGGATACTTTCTATTCACCCTTCTTGAACTCTGCTATGTTTCTTCCGCTGTGTCTGGTGTGCTGTTAACTTCATTGAATGCATTTTTTATTTATTATTTTGCATAATTTAGTTCTGGAATCTCAACTTAGTTCCTTTTTGTTTATAATTTATCTACTGAAATTTCTCATCTATGCATTTTCATCTTTTCTACTATGTTTTAAAGTAATGCAATGTTAACTAGTTTAATTTAGCTATTCCACAACGTATACATATTTCAGAACAACATGCTGTAATGATAAATATATACAATTTTTATTTGTCAATTGAAGAATAGAAATGTTAAAAAGCAAAATTATCATGGTTATTTTACTGTCCCTGTCTGATCTGATAATTCTATTATCTAGATTATCTGTACATCTTCTATTATTTCCTCTCATTTTCTTCTTTTTTCACATATCTTGTGATTATTTTATTGTATGCTGAACACTGTGTAAAAAAAATTAGAAACTCGTAAATATTTACCTCCAAAAAAGGCCACTCCATTCTCCTGTAACATTACATGTGTGTGGCTAAATCAGTCTAACCCGTAGCTGGGCTGGGTCTGGGTTGTGTTGCCTCTTTACCTTGATTTAGTTCCCCATTGGTTACAAATATTCTGAAGATGGGTTCAGGACTTTGCTTTCTCTGGGAAATTCTATTTATGCTATTCAGCCCAGTCAACTTCCTGAACTAGGGGAGAGTTCCCTGTTTGTCTTACTCCATGGATTCTAGCTTGTTGGGTCATGGGGAGTTATCCTTTCTCAATTTCTACTGTCTACTTTCTGCATTTTGGGATGTCTATCTCCTCTCTACTGTCTCTTCCTATCTTTTGGAGTGCTTTGAAAGGATTTCATTCAGCAGTTGTACCTTACTCATGGCTTTCTCTAGCCTGCTGCTTTACTCTTGAAGAAGTTCAAGTGAACCTCAGGGGAAATCTCCCCCGGCCCTCCTGCCCTTCCTATAGCCTTTTATCCTGTGTATGCAGCAAAGATCTGTTGGAAGAGTAGGCTAGCAGGGAAGACTCACTTTGTGTTTGGTATTCCTAGTGATTATAACCCATATACCAGGCCATACTTGGCCATCAAAAGTTTGATCAAAAATTTGGCTATTCTTTTTATTCTGTCTGGAATGTATCTCTGTAGACCCTATAGCTCTACTAAGAAGGAACAAAAACTGAATATTTTCTTTCCTAAGAAGAAAATTTATTATTTTGTATCTCTTTGCATCCTCAGTTCTGATGGATTTAAAAAATACTATAATACAAATTGTAGTTTATCTGGCTTGTTCATATTGTGAGTGTCAGAGCAATGGTCTTCGTATTAGTTTGCTAGTTCTGCTGTAATGAATACTGCAAATGGTATGTCTTAAACAAGAGAAATTTTTCCTTACAATCTTGAAAGCTGGAAGTCCAGTATCAAGGTGTTGGTTTCTTCTGAGATCTCTCTCCTTAGCTTGTAGATCGAACTCTTCTCCCTGTGTCTTCACATGGTCTTCCCTTTTTGCATGTACGTCCTAATTTTCTCTTATAAGGACATCATAGAGGATACATGTTTACCCCAAATGATGTCATTTTACCTTAATTACTTCTTTAAAGGCCCTATCTCCAAATACAGTCTCCTTTTGAGGTACTGGGAGTTAGGACTTTAACATACTAATTTTGTGGGGAAACACAGTTCAGTCCTTAACAGCCTCTTTGCAAATTTCTACCAATCCTTTAATTTTAATACTTCTGAGTCATTTTGTTTTAGGTGATTCTCTTTTGTACCTTATCAGGTTGTATTTTACTTTGAGTGCTAATATGAAAATCTTTTTATATATTAGATGAGTTCACCACATTTACATTTGTTGATATGACTGGAATATTTGATCCTAGGTCTATAATATCATTCTATATATGTTCATAAATAGGTAATTGTGCAAATATATAAAAGAAAGAGTGCTTTTCCCAATCATGATGCTATCTGCTTTTTTCTTCTATTTTTAGAATTCTTGGAAATTTAGGAAAGTTTGTAATTTGTTTTAGTGGTTACTTTTACATTAATATCTTACATAATACAAATAATCCCCTTTATTTACATTGTTTATCATCAAGAATACATTTAGAGTGGAAACTTTTCCTTCCTTTCCCTTTTCTCTCTTCTATTATCTAATTTTCACCAATGGCTTTAACTTAGTGTTGATTTTTGTGCTTTCAAATACGCTAAAGATTTTTGAGTTTAAATATCAATATTCCAGGTCATAACTTATGGACAATCAAGGAATTTAGCTTTTTTTCTCTTATCTCTGTGTTAATTAAATTTTTATTTTGTGTTATTTTTATATTGCTAGATCATACTAATATTTGTATGCTATTCTTTAGCACTCTTCCCCATTTTTAGCCTCAATTTTATTGTTAAATGTAATTATTGTGCACCATCAACTTTCAGCAAAGTTTCTCCAATAATTTCTTGATTGCCTGGTGCTTATCCCATAGTAGATTCCCCAGAAAGGGAAATTAGAGAAACATACCCTGGGTTTTTTAATGTTCAGAAGATCATTGTCTTTATACTTAAAGGGGAGCTTAGATTGAAATACAATGCTTGCCTCACATTTTATTTTTTTGAGTAACTTGTAGGTGTTTCTTTACTGTTTTCTGGTGTTGCAGTGAGAAGTCTGATGCCACTTTTTTTTCTGTCATTTATAAGTGTCTTGATCTAGTTGCCTGAATATCCAAATAATCTTTCTTTTTTTTATGTTTGATTTTTAATAATTTTTGTGGGGATTGTCTTGGTGTTGACCTGGGTGTTTTCACTGATACATAGTATACCATTTAGCAATATGTGTTTTTTATTTTATGTCTCATTTAAAAAAAACTGTCACAAATAATTAAAATTTCAAATATTTCTTTGTTCCATTATCTTGGCCCCCGCTCCCCCTGCCCAGGGCTTCAAATACATGTTGGATCTTCTTTGCTTCTCTTCTATATCTATCCACTTCTCTTCAAACCTTTCTTCTTTTCTAATATGTTCCATTTTATTCACATTTCTTTTTTATACTCTAATTACTAATCTTTCTGTGGTGTCTGTTGTTCATTGTAGCTCTTATTTGTCTTTGTTTCTAAAATTATCTAGTCCTTTTTTTTTTTCAATTTCTTTTTTGAGTTCTGCAAATCCTTTGTTTCTAGGCCTCTCTTCTATGAGTCCCTCTATGTCTGTTGTGTGTGTGTGTGTGTATGTGTGTGTGTGTGTGTGTGTTTATAACTTAATCTGCTTCAAAACAAAATTTTTGAGTTTTCATTGCTTGTTGAAAAATTTAGCTACTTATTTTCAACCTTTGCTGGTATGGAAACAAACCAAATTTGTTTTCTGTTATGCAGTTTAAACCAAACAGATTTTCCTGAACTGGTGATGGGAGATTATTTTAGGGTGAAGTTGAATTGGAAAAGAGCTTTCCAGGTTTCATAATTCAAGGCTTCCCTCCTCTGGAGCCAGGGTCAGGGGCTGGAAACAAAGTCCTTTCTTCTGGGGAGCCACTCTCCGAGCCCAGTATGCTTTAGCAAGACTCCCAACCTCAGTTTTATCTCTCCCACATCTCCTCACAGCCTTTGACTTACAAGGTGACTTTACAAATTGTTTGGCAGCACCCTTCCAGAATTTGTGTCTCTTTATTGCTCTCGCTACCTCAGCAAACCTGTTCTTCGTATCTAGCGGCTTCTCTAGAAGTTTTCTCTTAGTGTAACACTCCTTCCTGAAAGAGTTATTTGTGCAAAATTTCTGAACGCTTCCAGACCCAAGACTTTGGCACTTCCTATAATTCCCTGCAGCCCCCTTGCTGCTCCCTTAGGTTGTTTTCTGCTGGGTTCTTCATTAAGCAATACTTGCCCAGAATCTAGGTATTGATATTCTGTTTCCTAGTTTTGCCATTTACTTTCTGACGTACCCACAGAATTTCCCATTCATGTGGGGCCCTGTTTATCTAGGGGTGAATATTTTTAGTGATGTTTTTGGATCTTTAAACACCTCTGCAACCCTAATTTTCCATCAGTCTCTCTAATATATGCGAATTCTGTACTTCCTTCTCCACCCCTGTACTTTCTAATAGTTCTCTTTCAGGTTCCCCAGCCAATTCTGCCATTCTAGGGAGTCATTGCCCAGGCTTACAGATGCTTAATGAATCTTGGGTTTTCTCTATCTCCTACTTTTACTAGAAATGTAGCTGTTTTTCTCCTTCATTATTCCTGTTGCTCTATATGATTTTCAGAAGCAGAACTGGACAGATTTGATACTGAGATATCATCTTTCAGGAAAAGGAAACAAAACCATTGCCTTCAATGTCATCGGTCATAGAAAAACATATTTCTACAATGTGAGTGATGGCAAATTGTACACAATCACATTCAAGGCCACCAAGTACCCTTTAAACACCCATACATTTAAGTGTAACCCTGTGGGAAGAACTACCTGCTAATTCTTACCTAATTTTTTTTTTTTTTTTTGAGATGGAGTCTTGCTCTGTCAGCCAGGCTGGAGTACAGAGGTGCGAGCTCGGCTTACTGCAACTTCCGCCTCCCATGTTCAAGCAACTCTCCTGCCTCAGCCTCCTGAGTAGCTGGGATTACCGGTGTCCTCCACCACATCTGGCTAATTTTTTTTTTTTGTATATTTAGTACAGACAAGGTTTTACTATGTTGGCCAGGCTGGTCTTGAACTCCTGATCTCAGGTGACCCACCTGCCTTGGCATCCCAAAGTGCTAGAATTACAGGTGTGAGTCACTGCGCCCAGCCTCTAAATCTAATATTCTGTGAATGGTTCCATGAGATATGTTGCAGATATTCCTTGTATGTAATTTACTTTCAGTGTATTCTTTTGTATTAGTGTTTAGAAGATGTTTTGAAATATGACACAAAGGGCTAAATAAGTGGTGAATCTTGTATTTCATTTACAGCTCTCCTATCCTTGCTGCTTGATTTGGTAAAAGTTGTTTTACCTCTAGGTCTTTGAAATTCTTATTTACAAAGGTTTTGGTTAAATTTTCCTTGTTGTGTGTCAAGTGACTAATGACACTGGCAAAATATTTTACAAAATAAAATAGTATTGTAATTAATGAATGAAACACATGCAGACAGTAGAGTCAGACAGGTCACCAGGGCTTCAGGCCCAGCTCCATCATTTACTGTATGACCTTAAGGAAATTAATTAACCTCTCTGAGCTCAATTTCCTCATTTGTAATAACGACTATCTCCTGTGTTTATGATTAATGAGATAACAGGTATCACAGCACATGGTAACTCTTTTGGGCTTTGTAATTTACATCACTACCAGAAATCTTGGCCTGATTTTCTTTGCAGGTTTTAAGCCTGGTGCTGTACACATCGTGAACATGGGATTTATTATTTCAAAAATTTATTGAATGCCTTTCAGAAGCTAAGGTACCATTCTAGGTGCTAATGATACAGCGGTGAACAAAATGTACAAAAATCTCTGCATTCATAGAGTTTACATTTGTAGAACTATATTTATGACACATCTCATTAAATGTTCTTAATAAAAACATACATATATTAATTGCCCCCAAGTAATTAAAAATAGAAAATTCAGGCACAGCTGGATCCAGGCCCCTAAGTCATATCATTAGGTTTCTATCTTTTTCTTTCTCTGTCTTTAAGTTTTCCTCTCTAATAACTTGACATCCTTTATAGGCTGGCTTCTTCCACATAATTAAAAAGATTGCTGCCAGCAGCTTCACACATTTGGGTTTTTACACTTAGTGGCCTCAGAGGAAGAGTGGGCCTTTCTCTCATAGATGGCCTCTGATGGGTTCCCCTTGGGCTATGTGCCTTCTCTAAACCAATTTATGAGGACTGGGGTGCTCTGAGTGATTCATCCTAGGTGTGTCATGTGTCTCCTTTCCTGCACCCAGGAAAAGGAACCTGGTTCCATTTCAGCCACATGAAATGAAATTTCAGTAGGAAGGTCGGGTTACTTTCGGAGGAATGCTGAGATAGATAGCTTTAGCAATTGAACTAAACTTTAATAGTTTAGTTATCAAACTGACATTCTTTTTTTTTTTTTTTTTTTTTTTTTTTTTTTTTTTTTTTTTAGACAGTCTTGCTCTGTTGCTCAGGCTGGAGTGCAATGGTGCAATCTTGGCTTACTGCAACCTCCATCTCCTGGGTTCAAGCGATTCTCCTGCCTCAGCCTCCCAAGTAGCTGGGATTACAGGTGCCTGCCACCACGCCCAGCTATTTTTTTGTGTTTTTAGTAGATGGGGTTTCAACATGTTGGCCAGGTTGGTCTCGAACTCCTGACCTCGTGATCCACCCGCCTCAGCCTCCCAAAGCGCTGGGATTACAGGCATGAGCCACCATGCCTTTCCTAAACTGACATTATTTCATGAAGGGTGATGATAAAGAATAAAGTATACTCTTGGACTAATTCATGAGTGTGATTGTTCTTTGTTGGGACCATTATTTTCATACATTGACCAGTTTTTATAAATGTTTGTTGAATGTGCCTTTATATGTGTGGTTTATCAGAGGATATATGAACCTAGATATTTGTGGTCTGTTCCTGGTAGAATAACTAAAATTGTATGACTTTTAAGAAGTCAACCTCTGTGGGTCTTTGTTTTATCATCTTCAAGATGGAAAGGCTATGCTGGGCTATTCTTGAATTCATTTAGCACACGTCTTCATTTCCTATTATCTACTTGGACCTGTTCTGTATGCTGGGCATACAGCAATGATAAAACAGAAAATGTCCCTAACTTGTTGAAAATGATATTATTGTGGGGGTAAATCAATAAACAAATAAGCTAATAGATATACAATATAATGTTGAATAGTGATAAGTACTCCAAACAAGATGAATGTAATAAGGTCTATGATGGTGAGGGCCTTATTTTTCTTCTCTATTTCTACATTCCTAGTGCCTAGAATGGTGCTAGGACATGGGAATACTCAACAAGCGTTTGTTGACTAAATGAATGAATAAGCAAATTGACTTATTTGCAAATTGCCCATATTTATTATCAAGAATGAGTTCATTACAGGGATTTCTGAGCAAAGAAATCAGCAAAAAACTCCTTCTTACTAAATTTAAAATTGAGAAACCCATTTGTGAATGTTAAATTTTATGTGTCAGCTTGGTTAGGCTATGGTGCCCAGTTTGATCAAACACTAGGCTAGATGTTTCTGTGAAAGTATTTTGTAGATGTAATTAACATCTACAAGTAGCTGACTTGAAATAAAAATGGTTATTTTTTTAAATAATATGGGTGGCCCTCATCTAATTAGCTGAAGTTGTTACGATGAAAACTAAGGTTTCCTGAAGAAGGAATTGTGCCTCAAGATTGTGTAACACAGAAATCCTGCTGAATTTCCAGCATACTGGCTTGTGCTACAGATTCGTAACCCAATACTCTGATATCAACTCTTGCCCAAGTAACCAGCCAACTGGCCTATTATACAGATTTGCCAGTCCACACAATCTTGAGCCAATTCCTTAAAATAAACCTCTCCCTTTCTGTCCCCTTTCTGCATGTACACTATTGATCTGTTTCTCTGGAGAACTCCAACTAATATACTAGTGGAATTGTTTTAACAACTCTTTAACTTCCTCTAATTGATTGTATTGTCAGTAGATATTTAGTGAAAAAAATTCTAGTTTTCCTTATATTCTGAGATTTTTAACATACTTGGTTAGTTTCCTCTGATCATTTGGACATACTTGAAAACAAATGGAAATTTCAGTGTAATATGCAACCCAGTTAACTTAGAGGCTAGTTGTGTTGTAGCTATCTCAACATTATTTTTATGCCTCCTTCTATTAATTTTCTTGACCTATATTAAATGTCACAGACAACTTGTGGGAAGTAACAACAGAGCAGAAGGAATTCCCTGATCCAAATATATACCAGCTCTGGGACACGGGAGAAGGAATAACTATGGAGGTGGAAGAGTCATACTTTGCTAGAAACCTCTTGGGTATGAAATATAAGAGAAGCTAACTGTAAAATGTTTCAAAATTTATATTGCATATATTCTTGCTCACCTTCTCCCTAAGTTTAACACTCAAATAAATGCCAGAAAGTTATCATCAAAATGGCAGAACTTAAAGATGGATGTGGAAGAAAATTAGAATATAACCAAATCCTAAAATTATTCTTTCAACACAGTTTTCCTTAGACAATACAAGAAATTGAAAGAAAAGTAAAATTTTCTAAAAGAGAAATAAATTTAAAACCTCTGATTCTAGAAATGGGGAAATAATCTTGAGAGATTATCTAGTGCATTCTTTTACCCACAGGCAGGTTGTGTGTTTTCATCAGCAACATTTTAAAGCTCTCTTACAAGGTACGAGAGTCCACAACTCTCCTTAGCTATCCATTTTAGTATTAAATAATTCCTACTATCAATAATTCTTTCTTTTATCTAACATAATTTTTCTCCTGTTCTGGTCCAAATTGGAGTTGGAGAGCAGCTGGTGATTATTCCCTGTGTGAGAGCCCTTCATGTATTTATAGATTGTTATTAAATTGTCTCAAATCAACCTTTAATCTTAATGCTGAATAATATTCATTCTCTTGACCTCTTTTAATAGATCTTTTTTCAGATCCTTCAATCACCATTTGTAGCTGCCTGCTAAATCAGCTCATTGTCCCTCTTCTCCGTTTAGTCGTAGAATACAGAGCCAGAGAGAGTATTTTTGGAAGAGTAGGAGTTTGATGAAAAGATTTCATCCTTTGTATTTATGTACATGTGCACTTTCTTTATACAATAGATATTTAAAATAACTATTTTTGCAAATCAAGTGACATTTTAATACTCCTAGCAAGTTTACTTTTTAAAGGATATAGTGAATCTTTTTGAAAATGAATACTTTTGTTAGGTAAATGCATAAAGAATGACTTATGCTCAGACTTTTGTGTTTGCAAAGAGCTTTTGTAAAGTAGAGCTCATCTTCTCTTATTGTATCATCCTCGTCTTTTTGTTCCATGGTAATTCTGTAAACCATTTCTGCTTGTGAATTATTCTGTTTTATATTTGCTTTTGAATGCTACATTTGCACAATCAGCTCAGCATTTGTTAGGCACCTATGTGAAAAATGTTTGAAGAAATGTGAAAAATAAATCATGTTCTGCTCTTTGAGAGACTGCAATCTAGAGGGAGAGATAGGACACACACAAATAATTAAAATATAATTTGGGAGGAAGGTAAATCTTATAAATTGGGACTCTTTAAATTTAGGGTCTTTAAGATAATGAAGCACCCCTTAAATGATTAGGAGGGACACAAGATAGAAATAAAGATTTTATTACTTACAGGCTCTGGGGGTAAACAACATGCCTGGAGATCAGTCAGCACCAGGGGAGAGGGAGTAGAGAGAGAGAAGCCCATGGGTCAGTGACTTTGCTGGGGACCAGGGCATTATCCAAAAAGGTTTCCTGAAGGAGTTTTAATTGGTAAGTTTAAAACAAGCAGGCATGAGCTCTAGGAGGTCACAGTGTGACTGAAAGGCGGTCACTGTGGTATATCTGCACAGTCCATGAAGACAGTGAGGGTCAGCAGGGCCAGTAGAGTAGGTTATATCTAGCTGTTCCATAGGGAGGTGCTTGCCAGGAAGAATTTGTATAAAGCAGACATCTGGACTGACTACATTGAGGAACCTGGGTGGGGCTGTAAAACTGCCAAGGGTGACTGAGCCCTGCTTTTAGTATGAGAAAAGTAAACATATTCAAAATGGATGCCAAGGCAACATAAAATCGTAAGAATTGATTACAGACCTCTGGAAAAGGAGACGTTAACAGGAAACAAGGAATTGTTGGAAAAGGTTGCATTTCAGGGAATGTTGAAGGTGGTGTAACGCTTGTAAAAGTAGAATTAAGGAAGATAATTACCAGCAGGAAGAACTATATAATAGAAACAATGGAATAGGGGAATGGTCTGTTAAGAATCAATTCAAAGAAAGAAGTCTAGAAAGGGAATTCAAGAGATGGTTTGATTATTGCCTAGATGTTACTTATATTTAGAAATGTAGATTTTATAGAGTTGGCAATAAGTAGTCAGTAATGAGTTTGAAAGAGGTGTAACAAGGCTTAGGGTTTCCTTTAAAGACGAATGCAGTGAAAACTTATTATTATTTTTGGCTACCAAGAATGCAATTACCATTCCAATTTGGGGAGAATTCTCTATTATGTATTAATCTGAAGTGGAGTTCTGTCTCCCACTGTAGAAACCAAATAGAGGGCAGACATTTATCCTTCCCACTTGAAGAAGGAGACACTTCGCCTTAATTCAGCCAATTAGAAACTCCTATGTAATTCTTTGACTTGAGGGATTAATGAGATGATGTAGTGACATACAGCGATCTATAATGTTAACAGTGTATCTAGCCAAGGTACTGCTGATCATCCATTGTATTGGCACCAGTGGCCGTGTCTGCCCTAAGTCTTCTCGTGACATGACCTTGACTATATTTCTCCCTCCCTGGCGTTACTTGATCTTTCTTAATTTCCTGAGCTTTGTTCTATAGCCTTCCAACTCATTCTGAGGGCCTTCTGGTATTCTGTACACAATTCTTTTTCTGCTTACATTAGCCCAAGTCATTTCAGTGCCTTACAAATGATTGAGACAAATATTCATCTAGAATCTCTGCACAGAATGGAGTGGCAGATGCCAGAAGTTGGGCACCTGCTTTTGTCCAGGTGAGAAGTGATGCTACTTTAGTTAGGACAGTGGCAGTCAGAAAGGAGAAGAGGGGCCGCATGTAAGAGATGGAATAATGGAATTGAATATGCAGTTGAACAGCCTGCACCATCTGTCACTATTTCACTACCAAAGTTGATTATGCCTGATTTGGCTGGTTAGATGAATATCTTATCTTTTTCTGCACCACATGTACTTTCTTCTTGAAGCTCTGAGGTGAAGAGGATGCTTTTCTCAGGTGGAAGATGACTTATTTTTAGGCGAGGTTGATTCATCAGGATGTTGCAACTAATTGGGGAGAAGAATAATGTAGTACTGAAGAATAAAACATAATAGTAAAGTTTAAGGTGAAGCAACTGAGCAAGCAGCAATATTATTAAATGAAATAGGGGTGGTAAAGGAGGAACTAGTAGAAGGAAGATAGTGATTATTAGACATTATTCAGATAGCTTTTCTCCTAGTTCATTAAGGAGTGCTAGATATCTATGTCTCAGTCCTTTTTGTACTATTATAACAAAATACCTGGGATGATGTAACTTCTGAAGAACAGAAATTTATTTTTCTTAGTTCTAGAAACTGGGAAGTCTGAGATCAAGGCAGTGGCAGCTTTGGTTGTCTAGGGAGGGCTACTCTCAGCTTCCAAGATGATGCCTTAATGCCACCTCCTCTGGAAAGAAAGAAGGCTGTGTCCTCACCTGGAGGTAAAGATGGAAGGGTGAAAAGAAAATGAACCCCCTTGTCAAGCCCTTTTATAACAGCATTAATCCATTTATGAGGGCACAGGCCTCATGACTCAATCACCTCCCAAAGGCCACACCTCTCTATACTGTTGCACTGAGAATTAACTTTCAACATGAAATCTGGAGGGCGCAAAATCATTCAAGCCATAGTAATCCCTGTCTTCTTTTATTTTTACCTCCCTTCCTTCCTCTTTTCCTTTCTCTACCTCCCTAGCTTTCTTTCTTTCTCCCTTCTCTTCATACATTAGAAACACATTTTTATAGCAAAACAAACAACCCCCCTGCCCAAACACAAGCAATCCAGAAGCACATACAATTCAGATGTTGTCTGGGGTATGCTGGGTCATTGAAAGCTGGGCAAAATGATGTAAAAACTCTACCCCACGCTTTATCTGTCTCTACAGGTTTCATTAAGCTTTCTCTGAATCCTTGGAGCTTTTTTTAAAAGCATTTATTTATTTTTATTTTTTTTAGACAGAGTCTCGCTCTGTCGTCAGGCTGGAGTGCAGTGATGCGATCTCGAGACTTCTTACTGCCACCTTTGTGTCTAGGGGCTTCATCACATGTGACAAGTTTGTCTTGTTCCCCAAAGGTTACGACAACCTCTCCACTGTTATTTTTACAGAAACATAACTCACATGGAGCATTTATGCTCTGTGAAGTGATATGGTTTAAGAATTAAGATCTATGTTTTTCACTCAGTCTAATAATTTTACTTAGTAGTTTTAATTTTAATAGTATTATTTTAGCTTTTATGTAGGTAACATAACTCACATAAAGCATTTATAGATAACATAACTCACATAGGGCAGCCTTTTTGCCATGAGTTGTACGTCTCCAGGAAAAATTTCTTTGCTCTATGCAAACATCTAAAAATCTCATTTTAGAGATTTCCTCTTATCTAAAGTACTTCTTAGCCATGTTACCACTAAAGTTGTGACTGATCATCCTCTCGTCTTTCATCTTTCTCTTTCTTACCATCATTCGTTCTCTCTGCTTTGTTCTGTCATCTTCTCTGGAATGTTACTCTTCTGGGTCATGCACAGCAGTATCACCCATTCTCTGAAATCTTTGTATAAACCAACATCTGTCTTCTGGGTTTTGCCATTTATTTTAAGTTCTTATTAGGTTATTTTTCAAAAAATTGTTTTCTCTATAAAATATATCCTGTTGCTAGCTGTTCTTTCCTTGTCACATAACTACAGAGATGTTATCAATTCATATTTACATATGACAAAGAGCAAGTCTTCACCCCTTTCTTTATATATAGCATATGCAATTATTTGCATATTTTTGCATATATGTTTTGAAAAATACATTAGATCTTACCATACATATTCTGTGCCATAAATATGAAACTGGCACACATATATTTTCCTTATGTTCTAAATATACCATACATTTCTAAGCTGCTTATACATCAGTGGATAAACAAAGTTATTCAAAATTTTGTATTGTGAACAATGCTTTAATAAATATTCCTGCACATAATCTTTTTAACTATGTGTATTTCTATGGCTAGATAGCCAGAAATGAAGCTGGTGTGTCATAAAGATTCAACATTTTGGTTGGTTAACATACTACCCTCCCCAAAAGATGACCCAATTTATGCTCCTGCCATAACTCTGGGAATTTCTGTTTCCTACATCCTGGCTAACATTTAACCATTTTAATTTTAATTTTTGATAATACCTTTGCCAAAAATGATCTTATGATTATTTTAACTTACATTTTCTTAAATATTAGGCTGAACATCTTTTCAGATGTTTACTTGTATTTTTTCTGTAAATTGCATATTCATATGCTTATCATTTTTAATTGACATTTTCTCCTTATAAAATTGGTTTATAGGAGTTTTTCCTGTATTATCTAATGGTATATGATACACTAGATAATGTATTGTGAATATTTCTCGTAATGTCATGTATTTGAAACTTTTGTTTCAAGTATTTATCTAGTTTCAAGTCTTTTTCAAGTATTTGTCTATTAATCTTTCCCTTAATAAAATCTAGCTTTTCATCTTGTTTAACAAGGCATTTCTTTCTATCTGATTGAAAGCATCTTTCCTGTGTTTTATTATAATGCTTTTGATTTTGCTTTAGCTTTTGAATTCAAGTAAAAAATATTTTTATGTATGTTATGACAGAAGAATTTAACAATTTTTTTCCAATCATGTAGCTGGTTGTACACATACTATTTAGTGGATGTTCATATTTCACCACTAATTCAAAATGTCATTTTAAATCTTTCTGAAATGTTAACTTTCTTTCACTGATCTATATTTAATAATTCTGTACTCATACCACTATGGTTTAATTATTATACCTTGAACTGCTATGTTAGAAGGATTAGAAAGTATATTTTTTCACTCAATCTAATAATTTTACTTCGTAGTTTTAATTTTAATAATAGTATTATTTTAATTTAATGTGGGTAAAATAAATCAGTATAATAACAAATAATCTAACTGAAAACCCTGTCATGTTCAACGTGCATTGAAAATACTCATGTGAACCTATGATTTTTTTCTAATAACAAATTATATTTTGTAGCACCGTTCTAGAAAGGGAGATTGAAGAAGCATTACCCTTAGCAATGAACCCTTTTAGCACCCTGACTGTGGTCTCTAAATATGGCTCTCCACAAATAACAAGGTTTCTTAGAGATATGGCAGTTTCCAGGTGTGTAAAAAGGAATGTAAAAGGTGAGCCAGGAAGATCTTGCTGTGCCAGAAAGCAAAGAAGCTTTCAAAGACTAATGACGTATTTTTCAACACGGCACAGGAACCAGCCTGCGGGGCTCTCTTGGCCAAAAAGATGAGACAGTTTTATCACTGAAAGAATAATAGTTACAATTCTTTGAAACACGTGGATACATAATGATATCAGAGAAGAGAAAACACAAAAACCAACCTTATTTGTTACTGGTAGAGGTGACTATTACACTACCTTTTAGACATATACATTGCTAATTAAAAAGAAAGAAATAAGCATTTATTCTTTCATTCTAATTGGAAATGTATTTCAGCGTAGACAAATTATCTCAAAAATATATATTTTTTGAAGAATGGAAATTAATAACTATGGAATAAATAATACAATTAGAAAAACCACTTTTTTTGTAATTCATAACAAAGTAATTGAATTAGGCAAAGATCATCAGTGTATGCCAAACCATTAGGTGAAAGGTTGCTGAGGAACTCAATATTTGCATAGTGGAAAAGTACTACCTACAGAATACTTTAAGGATGCAAAAGGAAAACATGTAACTGAACAATGGAGGGATCAGGCTCTCCCCACCTGAACCCAAAGATCAACCATAACAACACTCGCAGTGGACAACCAGATATTTTGTACCTCTATAATTTCATAAGCAGAATCAGCATCACCTATTAAACATTTTTGTCAAAAGTATTAAACCTGAATCTAATCAAGCTTTTATGTCTAACTTTTATTTTTTGGGAAATACAGAGAATAAAGAAGAAAATGCTAAACAAGACCATGAGAAAACATTTAGAAAAACCACAAAGATAGTTCATAATATGGGAGATTCGACATAACTATCTTGGTCAACATGTCAATGATAAGAAATGAAAAAGTGTGTGTGTGTGTGTGTGTCTGAAGTGGTGAAGTGGCAGGGGAAGTCTATGTTAAAAGGCCTAACCAAATGGCACATGTCAGTCTTAATTCTAGTGTGAACAAATGAGCAATAAAAGCCATTTTTAGGGTAGTTAAGGAAATATGAACTAGATAATATTAATTTGTTAGATATTGACTTTTATGGTGGTTATGCAGAAACATATTTTCATTTTTTAAGAAATACATACTAAAATACTTAAGATAGAAATGCTGTGATATTCTTAATTTATTACAGCAAGCAAATACATAAATGAATAAATAAATCAAATATGGTTACATATTGTTAAGTCTAAGTATTAAGCTTAGTGTTTATTTTAAAACACCCTATAAAAATAAACTTACTTTTCTGTGTCTTTGAAATTTTTTATAATAAAAACCAGAATAAGTATAAACATATAGTTTATGTATTGTAAAAACAGATTTATTTTTAGAATTCAAATAAAAAATATAGGATGTTGAATTGGGGGTTTATTATATATATATACTCATAGATTCATCCATATATATACACAATATATATACATATATACTATATATATGCTTACTATATATATATGCTTACTATATTGTGTCTTCCTATCCAACAGTATGTCTATTTATTCAGAATTTAAAAAAATTCTTCAATACTTTTATGTTTTTTTCATGCAAAACTCAAATATTCCCTATTAGATGTTTCCCTAAGTATCTTAATTATT
Organism: Homo sapiens; assembly: GCF_000001405.40. NCBI lineage: Eukaryota > Metazoa > Chordata > Mammalia > Primates > Hominidae > Homo > Homo sapiens. The sequence goes on along the minus strand of NC_000007.14, from coordinate 90,001,076 downwards.
TAGTTACTCTACACTATTAGCAATTGCTATTGATCAGAAAAACAGTGACCTATAGGGAAGTTGATTTCGTTTCTAGGTGTCTTACTGGACTCTTTATGGTGTTAGTAAATAATTTTGCAACTTTTATCTTTTTCTTTCAGGTAATCCTTTTTAATTGTAAAATGTGATGTGCATACAAAGGCATGTGTAAAACATAAATATACAGTGTAACGACATTATTAAGCAATTATTAATGTAATCATTGTAGAAGTAAAAAAAAATTAAAATTTACCAGCATCCAAAAGGTATAAGAATGCTGTGTTCTTTCTATGTCACATGTTTTGACTGCTGTATTAACCATTCTGAAATATAGTTTCTAGGTCATAATTTTTGGCAATATATTCTGACTTTGTAAATTTCACTCAAGAAATTTAGAATCAGAAAAAATAGCAAAACCCACATATTTTCTCTCATTTCAGCTTATTTATTAGTTTCACCTGGTGGAAATATATTACATTAATCTAGAATATTTTGGTACAAGTTTAATAATTTTTTGTATATACATGTTTATTATGTGTATATGTATACATAGATATACATACACAAGTATATCTAGAAAATACAAATATAAACAATTAGGTCTAAATATCAGGTGGTTATAAGTTAATTTCACAAATTATTTGTTCTCCTAGTACACATTGTCAGGGTTTGATATTAACTAGGTACTTCATTTTTAAATTCTTTCTGTGAGAGGTGGATATTCTGATATTTTTCAACTCAGTGTAGAAAGTCTTAAATATACCAGATTTGGATATAATTCCTCAAATATGTGGCCTCAAAAAATTATATTTTGTTTGCCTAGGACACAGATATTTTATAATTAACATTTTTTCTTTCTCATTAGCAATTCCCCAAAATAAATCACAGTAACCCACCTGCTGTTAGAACAAGGTCATCTGGATTAATCAGATTTAAATGGGAGGCAGAGCTGAGACACAACTTGTAAATTATGAAGAGGCTTTGTAATCAAGATATAAACACTAAATTCTATAGAACTTCTCAAAAACACCAGAAATCATTATTTTGATTTCTTCCTTTTAAATATCCTCATCAAGATGCAAATATATGGTACTTACTCTTTCCTAATTATAATCTATTAATCAAATATTAAAAAACAAATGCATTTTGGGAGTTTTCAGGTAGGTATTAGTAAATTTTAGTTCTGCAATGTTCAAAGTAAAAGAATTGTAGATGCAAGGATTAGCTCAGGTTTGCTTCCACATACCCTTGGTGAAGAAGGCAGCAAGAAAAAAATGTTGGTCCTTGAAGAGCTAGACAGAGCAAGGTGATAAGATTTACTCTTCTACATGGAGAATGAGGGCAGACATATGCTATTTTTTTATTAATATAGGCACAAAGAGGGTGCTTCATAAAGCAATGCTTGTCAAAGCCTGTTTTGTTACCAAAATATCCCTAAGAGGAAGAGATTGAGCTAGGTTTGTAAATGCATCCTGAAACTCTCCTCCATGAATGGGAAAATTTCTTTTAAATATAGTTTATTATTTAAAATATTAATTTGCATGTTGTATTTAACTGCATAGTATATCCATATTTATTTTAATTTAAAAGTTTTAAATTAATTTGATTTGCTTGTGGAAGTTAAAACTGATATTCTATAAAGATGTGTATTTACCCTGTGGCTTTAAGAACCTACCTTGGAATATCAAACTATATAGGTTGTGCGTTTTCCAGTTTCTGGTAGTACTACTCTCATTGCGCAAAACAACAATAACCAACATTTATTTAAAGTTTAATACATTCTAGACACTGTTCCAAGCTCATTAAATATATTAACTTATCCCTCAACAAGGAGTGATGAGTAAGATTATTAAATTTTTATTTATTTTGTGTTTATGGAGAATTATCCTTATATAATGGTAATTTTCACAAATAAACTGTGATGATATCTTGGACTTTTTCTTTTCATGTTTGTCAGTTGCAGCTTTGGCCCTAACCTAAAAACAGGGTTTGTGCTGTTTAAAGCAGTTCAAATTGCCCAATACCAACAAAAGCTCTGAAATAGATATATGATAGATTCAATCTTATGTGGAAATTTTTTTGAGTTAAGATTTCCTAGTGATTTTATATCTTCTGATCACTACTAAAAATTAATTTTTGTTACTCATATATCAATAATTTATATTTATCAAATTTAGTAACTAAATACTGACATTTGGTGAATTTCTCCCTCTTCGTTGCATTGTAATATTCTGTTTTTATTTTTTTGATTTTGGGTCAAAGGAATTAAATAGGCAAGGTTGGAGACAAACCTAAAGTGATTGTAATGATGATGTAATCAATGATGTAATATCTGAAGTCTGCCATAGCAAGATGAGCACATCTAACAGAATCAAATGATTTTGTCAAATACGTTGTACAATATATAGCAAACACTTTGCTACATAAAAGCACTAAGTTACTTGCCTATGCAGGTTTAGTCCAGTAATTTATTCAGATTCAATGTCTATATATATCCTGCTAGAAGAAAAGTGGCTTTTTGGCTAACTGAGCCTTTTAAAAGTATCCTCAAGAGGTAGTAAATGAGTGGGTGGTTTGATTGACCACTTTTGTATTTGGGTAAAAAAATATTTCTTAAGACTGGTTTAATGTAGCAAAAATCTGAGTTGAAGTTGTAGATTCTAATAGAGAGTATGCTAAAAAAGTAATAGTTGGTAACAGAAATGAATATTTTAATCTTAAAGTCATTAAAATGCATTATATACTTTCATTTTGATTTTAAATCACCTATTGTTTATGTCTCTGATGTTCCCAAAAGGCTTAATAAAACCCTAAAATTGTAATATGGTACACATGGAAAATTTTGGAGTAGAGTCCAATGTGAGTTTTTGGCATAGAGTCATGACAGATCTGAATACGTTTTTCCTTGATTTTAAAGGGTTTATTATGATGAATTTTTTATTGATATATAATAATTATACATTTTTGAGAAATGTGTGATATTTTGATACATGCATACAATGGGTAATGATCAAGGTAATTAGGATAGTCATCGCCTCAAACATTTATCATTTGTTTGTGCTGGGAACATTTCAAATCTTCTAGATGTTGTGAAATATATAATGAATTATTATTAACTATGGTCACTCTACTTTACTATGAAACATTAGAACGTATTCCTTCTGTCTAACTGTATTTTTGTACCCATTGAGCAACCTGTCTTCTCCCACCCCCTTCCCAGCATATGGTACTATTACTCTATGTCCATGAGATCAACATTTTTAGCTCCCACATATGAGTGAGGACATGTGATATTTTTCATTGTGTACCTGGCTTATTTCCCTTAACACAATGATATCTGGCTACATCTATGTTACTGCAAATGACAGTTTCACTCCCTTTTTATTGCTGAATAGTATTCCTTTGTGTATATATACACCACATTTTCTTTATCCATACATCTGTTGATGGATACTTAGATTGATTCCATATCTTGGTAATTGTGAACAGTACTGCGATAATCAGCAGATGTGGGAATCCCTTTGATGTACTGATTTTCTTTCCTTTGGGTAAATACCTACATATTTTTGAGACTGCTGGATTTTATGGCAGTTCTATTTTTAGTTTTTTGAGAAACCTCCATATTGTTTTCCACAATGGCTGTACTAATCTACATTCTCATCGACACTGTATAAGAGTTGTCTTTCTCTGCAATGATGAATTTTGAAGGAACATTCAGAACACGGAGATGTTAAATAAGGACTTGACATTGAGGATTCAGGCAAAGTGAGCCTGCCTGTAATAGAATCTGTAACATAGTAAGTGATGAATAAACTTACCAAGTGGTAGATGATGTTTGAGGCATTGAAGATTCTGCAGTGAACGAACAGGCAAAATTTCCTGATGTGAAACTTCATTCTGGTGGAGAGATACAGATGATAAACCAAAAAGTAAAACATATCATATGTCAAATGCTGTAAATGTGAAGAAGGAAATAAACCAGGAAAGAAGATATGGAATTTTGGGAGTGGTGGAGTTTGAAATTTTTAGAGAGTGTTTAGAAATTGTCTCTGAAATTTTGCCATTTTCACAAAGACTTGAAGCAGGTGAATGATTTTTGGAAATATCTCTGGGAAGAATGTTTGTGACATGAACAATAGCAAATGAAAAATGTCCTGAGATGGGAGCTTGGGAAGCATGTTTCAGGAATAGCACTCTGGCTTATATGTTGGAAACAGTCTATGGGAGAGATGATGGTGTCTCAGACTGTCATACGGAGAAGTGTAGGTTTTGGGATGTATTTTGGAATAGTACTGGGAAGATTTTTCTCATGAATTGCATGTGAGATGTGAGAGAAATAGTCAAGCGTGAGTAAGGTATTTGGTTTAACCCACTGAATGGTTGATCCTGTCATATTGAGATAGAAAGATTGCAGAAGATTTGGGGAGGGATACTAGGTGAGCAACCTTTGATTGGCCTGTAGGAATTTGTCAGGAAAAAATGAGGGTGTGGAAATAATGATGTTTTAGGCAAAGGAATCCTTATGTGCAATGGCATTGAACCTTGAAAATACTTTAATTATTTAGGAAATGGAGAGACATTTTGCATGATGTAAGCACAGTATACATTAGGGATTGGTAGACTATGGCTCAAGGGCTAAATCCAGCCCACTGACTGCTTTTGTAAGACCCATGAGCTGTACAAAATGGTTGAAAAAAATAAAAAGAATAGTAGTTTGTGACATGTAAATTATATAAAATGCATATTTCAGTGTCCATAAAGAAAGTTTGGTTAGAACATAGCCATGCTCTTTCATTTACGTATTGTCTATAGCTGACTGATATGGTTTGGCTGTGTCCCCACCCAAATCTCATTTTGAATTGTAACTCCCACAGTTCCCATGTGTCCTGAGAGGAAACCAGTGGGAGGTGATTGAATTATGGGGGGCAGGCCTTTCCTTTGCTGTTCTCCTGATAGTGAATGAATCTCACGAGACCTGATGGTTTGATAAAGGGAAACCCGTTTGCTTGGCTCTCATTCTGTCTCTTGCCACCACCATGTGAGACATGCCTTTCACCTTCTGTCATGATTGTGAGGCCTCCCCAACCACGTGGAACTGTAAGTCCAATAAACCTCTTTCTTTTGTAAATTGCCCAGTCTCAGGAATGTCTTTATCAGCAGTGTGAAAATGAAACTGTCTCTGTGTTAAAATAATTAAGTAGTTCTGATGGAGACTATATGGTCTGCCAGGGTGAAAATATTTGCTACTCGGTTTTTACAGAAAAAGTTTGCTGACATTGGTGTACATAAAGGGAATAATAGGAGTTAAAATGAAGCATTTTGGCGGTGGAGGGGAGGTCACAGATTTTGAAGTAACTTGTATGTCTTGCTAAGAAGTTGAAACTTGATTCAACTTCTTAAGTCATAGAAAACCGTCAAGGGTGATATCTTCCTAAAATATCACAAACAATACAGAAAAAATTACTAGTTCAACCTAATTATCAGTTGGAGAAATCAACCTAATTTTCAGTTGGAGAAATAAACACTGAGAGAGTAAGTAATTTGCCCAGAGCTTTCCAGCACTTCAGTGTGAAGGCCTGGCAAGGACTGCAGTGATTAAACTCCCAGAGTCATAATTTTACTCCTGCTCCTAACAGCTACTGTGGAACTTCTGCATACAAGGAAGTTCTTCCAAAAATCTCAGAGAATACTTATGTCTGCTATAGAATGTCAGAAGAAATAAGTCAATTTGGTTTTAATGTTTTAACCTAATCCCACATATTTATTTCATAATCAATAAAAAAGTTATTTAAGAAAAGAAACGTCATAAACTTTGAATGAAATAAAAATAAAAATTGAGTCATTACGTTAATAAATTTTGATCCTGGGTAAAGCTGAATTTGGCTGAAATTTGGCACTTCTGCCTCCCATTTGATGCAGTCTCCCTTCATCCTGCCCTATTTCTCTTAAGCAATGGAAAAGGAGGTGTTAGCAACACCCTGTAACACATTCTTTAATTATTGTTGTGGATTCTTAAAATTGATGAATGGGGACATGTCAGTAATTCTAGATTCTGTTGAATGGCAGAGATGTTATGGGTTGACAAGTTATCCCAGGGAGTGAGGCCAAGGAGCAGCATTAGGAAAGATTTTGTTATTGCCAGTGTTATGGTTCAACAGTACATTTCAGATAAGAAACACAACCGTGGGAAAAAGGATAAAGGGGGCAGGTTATAAATGGAAATGGAGTGTATCACAGCAAACAGAGGTGGGACATGATCCCAGAGAGGAATGTAATAAGGACAAGAGAAGAATACTCTTAGCTATCTCTCTCAAGTCTGGCAATGAGTAATGGTGGGTATGGGAGAAACCTCCTCATCTGTTTTGTCTAAGGAAGAGAAATTGGACTCCACTTGGGTAATTTAAGAAAAGAAGTGACACAGCATTTCCTGATGAATCAACTTACTGACAGCTGACTACTACTATCATTCAGCTCATTGTTTACAAGCTGAATTTGCCATTCTGGTTATTTCTCAGTTGACTTGAGATAAATACTACCATGAATCTTATAGGGCAGAGAATGCCAAACAGCAGAGCTTAAGAATTCCGTGTGGGCTTAAGTCATGGTGACATATTGCTGTAACAGCTATCTGGATATGATGGAAAGCAGATTGATGCCATTTGTCAAGTATATTAGAGCTTGTTTTGTTCCTTCGAGTATATCAAATGTGAATGTGGATGAAATGCACTTTAAAAAAGCTAATATGGAACCCAGTAATCCTATATTACTAATAAGTCCCTTCTGGAGGTACATAAGGATGTTTATGGGAAGCCTTATTGTGTAGTAAGATGGAACTGTGTTTGCAGGTAAAATATACACAACTGATAGCCTCATGGGGCACACAAAATTTTCCATTTCAGACTGTTTTTCCAAATGGTACCAATCCCATACAAGTGAAATGGCAGCAACATATGTGGTAGCTTGATCACCAATGGCCATGCCATACCAGATGTTCTGTAGAGATTTTAAGAGATGGCTTTGGGATAGCTTTGATTTTGAAATAAATATGTAGGTCAGTCTGAAATAATGTTCTGGGATGATTGTCCTCATTAAGAAAAAGACTTGATAACCCAAACAGTGACACTAAAGGGAGTGCTTTTCTAAGAGGTTGGCCACAAAAATCACTTTGAGGGGATTCTAAAGCTCTAAGTAAATAAACTAATTGAATAATTATTCTATTGGACTGCTATAATCATTGGCAACCCTGGGAAAGGGTTCATACTCTTATCAAAGAAGAATTATCAGATACTCTAGTCACTATTGATTCTGATGTTTTCAAAGGCCAGTGGCCAAGAGTGGTCAAAAGCCAGGTTGGGAAGGTACACTGTGGGAACACTATGCTAATTCTAAATTATAGCAGGTTGTCACTGGACGATGAGACTTCTATCATCATTTTCTAATGACCTAGGTGTCACAAATGCAAAGTGAGTTTGCTTTCAGGTTGTAATTGGTTTGGATAAAACAGATAGTGAACACACTGTGTCATAATTATGGGAAATAGAAGGAGGATATTAAAAAATGCCACATGGAAACCTGTGTCTGTAAATACCTGCACACTGGTAGCAGGGATATGGTTATATCAAAAACCAGATGGAATCTAGAATATTCTGAACAATAACCTCCTAAGGCATTTGGAAACATGTGGCACATGGAAAAAATATCATTTCTATTGGGAGGGAATGGTTGGGAGGGAATGACACTATAATTTTTATCTAATTTCATGGTATGTTAAATGTTACTTTAATCTTGCTGTCACAGCTATATAGTATAACAAATGCCTTGTTAACCGATAGAATTTTACAAAGATTAGAAAATACTTTGGGAGGCTAACTTGGAGACTGTAAATGTTACATATGGAAACCAATTGGCCAGAAATAAAAGTGAACTCAACTTTGTTTGCCTCCATCAACACATATCAATGGTTCAAATAACTATAGGTGATAGAGGAAAAAGAGTAATCAAACTTGTAAGAGAACAGCAAAAGACTTGTGAAAAACATATAGTTGCAATTAACATCCTTTGTAGAGGACATTCCTACTCCCCATTGGATGTTTCAAAACATGGTAGTTGTCAGGATGTTAGTAGACTTATTCATCTGTATAAAATACTTTAAGACAAATAATGAAAAGATGCTTGAGAAATATGTACCAAGGGATTAGTGACTAAAGTCAGAGTGTGGACTGGAAAGAAAAATGTTAGCCATAGACCTACAAGTCATTTTCTCACCCTGCTGTGGGATGCCCTTGGAAGAAAAGATCCATCAAAAACCCTTGTAAACATTCTAAAGAAAGATCTGCTGCTATTTAATAGTGGGAGAATTCTTACATGTGGAGAACTTTTGCACATGTATCTGGTCTGTCTAGGATTGCTTATGTTAAATAAACCTGGAAATGTGTGAATTTATAGGGCAGGCTACCTGGAAAACATCACACAAACTAGTAACTGAGAATAAAATTCAGATATTTTGGCCGAGCGCGGTGGCTCACCCCTGTAATCCCAGCACTTTGGGAGGCCGAGGCAGGCGGATCACGAGGAGAGGAGATCGATACCATCCTGGCTGACACGGTGAAACCCCGTCTCTACTAAAAATACAAAAAATTAGCCAGGCGTGGTGGCGGGCGCCTGTAGTCCTAGCTACTTGGGAGGCTGAGGCAGGAGAACGGCGTGAGCCTGGGAGGTGGAGTTTGCAGTGAGCCAAGATTGCGCCACTTCACTCCAGCCTGGGTGACAGAGCGAGACTCCGTCTAAAAAAAAAAAAAAAAAAAAATTAAGATATTTTATGACAGTGATGGCTCGCTTTTATGTAAGCAGTGCTTTGCATGCAACACTTAGAGCTCATGTTAAATCTAGATCAGAGCAGATACTAATGCATCACAAAATGACCTGAAAGTGACACTGGCTATCCCAGCTTCTCCATCCTTCCCCTCTCTCATGATTTTCTTTCTCTTTAAACTTGTTAGTATGGTTTGATTCTGGGTAAGATCTCTGATCGCTGTGAATCTGATTTGATGACCCAACCCTGTATTTGTTTCACACTATATCCCTCAATGTCCACAATTTACCACTATTAAACTTCTTTTTTTTGTTCTTTTATATATATATATATATATTTTTTGTTCTTTTTTATATATATTTATATATAATATATATTATATACTGTTTATAATATATATAATATATATTGTTTATATATAATATATATTATATATAGTTTGGTGTTTGGTTTTTTGTCCTTGCGATAGTTTGCTGAGAATGATGGTTTCCAGCTTCATCCATGTCCCTACAAAGGACATGAACTCATCCTTTTTTATGGCTGCATAGTATTCCATGGTGTATATGTGTCACATTTTCTTAATCCAGTCTATCATTGTTGGACATTTTGGTTGGTTCCAATTTGACACTATAAACCTTTGAAATTGGCCTCCAAGGTTTTTCTAGATCCAAATCTTTATTCTGTCCTCTAGAGCAATATGAAAACTTGCTTGCCCCTTGGTCCAAGTTCTCTAGATCTTTCTCTCAACTCAGAAACTGATCACTAATAATTAATATACACTTATTTTTTGTTTTATGCTCCCTGGTCAAAGAAACTTATTGAAGTCACATATCTTAACACAGAACTAGACTGGCAGAATGGTTCTCTTCAAATGGAGGGAAGCTATTTTTCCCTTTGAACCATCCATGTGACTTTTTATATGCCTCTCTTTACACATTCAGCCTTGAAATAAAATTGTAAACATGTCTTATTTCTACAATTAGGACACAAGTATGTGTCACTATTTTTTAAATCTCCCACAGTGTTTAGCAGAATATATTTTCTCTAGAGGTACTCATGAATATTTGACAAGTTAAATTGAGTGGACGGATAAGGACTTTTGGTTTTTCTGAAAGCAGGGAAATTGTAAAGATAACATTATCAGCATAAATAAATACATTCTAGTCCAACTTATTTTCTAAGTTCCTACCTTGCAAGAAGAAATGACACCTGTCCTCTTTTACATTTCGTTTATTATGAGGAAAAAGACAAAGGTTCTTGCATTCATTTTGCTTTTCCATGGGGTAGGCAGCAACTTCAAGGAGTTTTTAAAAATCTGTCCAACAGGTTTCAGAATCTTTTTCTTTTTAATTTAATTTTTTTCTTCTAACTTTTAAGTTCAAGCAATACCTGTACAAGTTTGTTATAAGGGTAAATTGTATGTCACAAGGATTTGGTGTACAGGTTATTTCATCACCCAGGTAGTAAGCATAGTACCCGATAGGTAGTTTTTTGATCCTCACCCTTCTCCCACACTCCACTCTCAAATAGGCTCTGGTGTCTGTTATTTCCCTCTTTGTGTTCATATGTACTCAGTGCTTATCTTCCACTTATAAGTGAGAACATGTGGTATTTGGTTTTCTGTTCCTTTGTTAATGCACTTAGAATAAAGGCCTCCGGCTCCATCCACGTTGCTGCAAGGGATGTGATCTCACTCTTTTTATGACTGTGTAGTATTTTGTGGTGTATATGTACCACATTTTCTTTATTCAGTCCACTGTTGTTGGGCATTTAGGTTGAGGCCATGTCTTTGCTATTGTGAATAGTGCTGCAATGAACAAATGAGTGCATGTGTCCTTCTATTAGAATGATTTATTTTTGTTTGGATACATACCCAGTAATGGGATTGTTGGGTCAAATGACAGCTCTGTTTTAACTTCTTTCAGAAATCTCCAAACTGGTTTCTATAGTGGCTGAATTAGTTTACATTCCCACCAGCAGTGTATAAGTGTTGCCTTTTCTCCACCACTTCACCAGCATCTGTTATTTTTTGACTTTTAAAGAATAGCCATTCTGACTGGTGTGAGATGATATCCCATTGTAGTTTTGAATTGCATTTCTCTAATGATTAGTGATGTTGAACATTTTTTTCATATCTTTTTTGGCTGCATGTATGTCTTTTTTTGAGTGTCTGTTAATGTCCTTTGCCCATTTATTAATGGAATTGTTTGGTTATTGCTTGTTGATTCCTAAATTTTCCAGTACCCCAAAATATGGGAAAAGAAGGAATTAGGGAGTTAGAGAAATAAGGAAGCCCATAACATGTTACTCATTTGATGAACCAGTATCTGAGGTTTAATGAAAAGTCACTGAAAAGGCAGCAATGAGAAAAATTGGTATATATAGAAAATTGTAATTTGTTTATTTCTAAAAAAACATTCACATTGAGATTCAATTAAGATCAAATTAGTTTTTATTGGTAGGTCATTAAGCCCAACAGATGATCAGTGATGTCTGATGAGGGAGTTACAGTTTACAGAGGAGGACTTTAATGAGTATTTAATGGAGACTTTGAGGGAACCTCCTTTTACAGCCCCTCCTACTCTTACCCATTCATTCATATGCAAAAAGTCCAGTCCATTTCCTTGACACTGTAAGAGCAAGAATATGGGAAGTTTAGAGGTTGGGGACTTTGCAGGTTAGGGACGTCACATAAAGGCTTCAGAGGAAACAATCTTTAGTACTTTCTTGCTTCAGTAACTTTTTTTTTCGTGCAATTTGGCCTGAGTTGAGGATCTTTTGGCATTTTTGTCTATTCATGCAAGCAGATAGGTTGGTGTGAGGGTGGTGTGGACTGGGTTGGAGAAAGAAAACAGCTATGCCAATTATGGATTGTCTTCAGTCTCTCATGTGAAACTCTTAATGAAACATTGTGAGTGTAAAACCAACATTGCTAGAAAAAAACAATTTATCATATGTAACCTTATGTACCTGGAATTAAAAAAATCTTCCCTTCTTTTCTAAGAACTTGCAAATATATAATATTGTACATCTTCATTAAACAGAGAGGTTGGTAGAGGATATAGTTTAAATGGGATATCTTCTCACCAGCTATTTTAATAGCCACAGACAAAGAAGATTTTCAATATTTTCTTCATTGGGATACAATATTAATACTATTTATTAAATTTTGTTTTCTGGATTCCTAGAAAAACTTTTTCTAATGTATTGATTTCTTTTATCAACATATCTCAGATCAAGATAGTTTTCTTTCTTTGGAAAATAATTTTCAGTTAGGATCATTTTTGGGAGGCTACTCGAAGTTTAATCGGATGTGCTAGTTTTTATTCTGGCAGTTGGTATTTTAATACTAGTGTGTAACACTCAAAAAGGCTTACAGTCTAGTCCCCATGTAGTATTGTAATAGAAAAACTATAACCAAAAAATAATTTCATAATGGTAACTGAAATGAATAACAGAGACAAAAATCTCAATCATTCGAGGTTTACTAAGCCAGTTTTAGGGCACATCTGGGAAAATCATAAGCCATATCTGTGGCTGTCATTCCAAGGAGCTTTTCAGGAGGTTTAGTATTTATCTATTTCATTAAAGTGGGTGGAAGGAGACCTGCAGGAAGAGGAACAGGTAGGTAGGAAGAGGAACAGGTAGGCAGTAAGGCAAATGGTTACATTTTTGTGAGACTACCATTTTATGTAAGATAAGGTAAATAAAGAGAAAAAAGGCAGTAAAGGAAAAATCAGTTAGGTAGAGGAACAAAGACAATCTCATCTTGTGTTTTTCTGCACCTGGGAAGATAAGCTTGTAGTGGACGTTTTCAGTGTGGAATTGAACAGACTATAGTTTTAGGAGCTAGACTTAGATTGTAGACCTAAAATTACAATTGGGATGTCCTTGTTTATGGGAGAATTTACTTAGAAATGATCTGTGGGGGTGGCCCTTCATAGATGCCTGAGGCCTTTTACTTGGGCTGATGCATAATGTTGTCATAGCTAGTCATCTGGAAGAGGGAGACTCAGCCTTCAAGCTTAAACTTCCCTTTTACATAAAGAGTTTGGATACCCTGGGATTTAAAAATTTTCCTTTACAATAAAAACTCAAGTTTTCCACTTGTATTTCTCAAACATTATGAATAGCACTACTTTTGTTTATGCCAGTAATAACTCTTAAATTATTTTTTTTCACTTTTTTTATTCAAAGCAATTGCATTTGACCAAGATAGCCTTAGTGTTTCCTTCAGCTCCCCCAAACGTTTAAATAGGCTGCTTCCGACCGACCTCTAGACCCCTGATCTCCCTTTCTAAGGTAAAACATTCACTTTAGAAAACTTGTAATTATAAATGTTTCACTGCTCCTTTGTGATGCAAAACTTTTTTAAAAGCCTTCTGCCAGTTTTACCACCCAGGATTGTCTTTCTCAAAGATCTACAGCCATCTCTTTGATATGTAATTGTCAAGGAAGTTAGACCTTCTGTATCCCAGTTTCTGTGGGAGAGTAGGAACCTAACTTTGGTGGGCACCTTGCTTCCAGTTGTAAAACTATCTCCTGTCATGAAGGTATGAGAATGTTGACTCTCTCTTTGGGTAAAACCAACTAGCAAACACAGATGGTCTAAGACCCTTCTGTCTCAGCTCTTAAAAACTTCCCAGGTGTTTGTTTCAGAAGAATTGCATTTACACTGAGTTCAGGCCTCCTTCTCCTATTGCAATATTCTTTTTGTAAAGCTTTATTTTTAATTGACAAACAATAATTGTATATATTTATGGGCTACAAAGTGTTGTTTACAGGCTGGATGTGGTGGCTCATGCCTGTAATCCCAGCACTGTGGGAGGCTGAAATGGGTGGATTACCTGAGGCCAGGAGTTCACGACCAACCTGGCCAACATGGTGAAACTGCATCTCTACTAAAAATAGAAAAATTAGCTGGGCATGGTGGCACACCCCTGTAATCCCAGCTACTTGGGAGGCTGAGGCAGAATTGTTTGAACCCAGGAGGCGGAGGTTGCAGTGAGCCAAGATTGCGCCATTGCACTCCAGCCTGGGCAACAAGAGTGAAACTCCATAACAAAAACAAAAACAAAACAAAAAAAGTGTTGTTCACATGTTACATTGTGGAATGATCAAATCAGAGTAATTAGCATATCCATCACCTCAAATATTTATTGTTTATTTGTGATGAGAATATCTAAAATCTTCACTTTAAGCTATTTTAAAATGTACAATATATTAACTGTAGTCACCTTGCTGTGAAATAGAACATCCAGAACTTATTCCTTCTAACTGTAACTTTGTACCCATTCAACAACATCTCCCCTTTCCCGATCTTCCTCCCCTCAACTCCCAGCCTCTAGGAGCCACCATTCTACACTTTACCTCTGTGAGTCCAACCTGTTTAGATCCCACATATAAGTGAGATCATATGGCATTAGTCTTTCTGTGCCTGGCTTATTTCAACTAAATGTCCTCAAGTTTCTTCCATATCACAAATGATAGAATTTCCTGTTTTTTTTTTCTTTTAAGGCTAAACAGTATTTTGTTGTGTATATATGACATATTTTAAAAATTGATTATCCATTAGTGAACTATTAGGTTGTTTCCACAACTTGGATATTGTGAATAATGCTGCAGTGAACATGGGAGTGCAGACTTCCCTTCAACAGAGTTCATTTCCTTTTGTGTATACCCAGCAGTGGTATTGCTAGATGATATAGTAATTCTATTTTTAGTTTTTTGAGGAACCACTGTACTATTCTCCAAAATGGCTGTATTGCAATAGTCTTGAATAAAGTTTTTGTTGCCTGTTTAACATTGTCCAGTAAAATGTTTGCTTTGATATTCCCATACTTTATGCTTTCTACATTTTCCAGAATCCCCTGAAAACCTCTTCCCTAGCTGCAGACTTCTGACTCTTCTGTTGATTTATTCAAATGAAAAGCTTCCAAAGAACCCTTCTGAATCCCCCAAATAGAGCATGATGGGAAGGACAGAATGGGCTAAGCTAGAATTTTCTTTGGTAGGCAAGAAAGTAAAGGGCTGGAGACATTGAAGCAATACTAATTAACTTTTGTGTCTTCATATATGTTGTGTGAACTCTGAAAATTTGAGACAGGTCTCAGTTAATTTAGAAAGTTTATTTCGCTGAGGTTGAGGACGTGCACCCATGACACAGTCTCAAGAAGTCCTGACAACTTGTGCCCAAGGTGGTCAGGGCATAGCTTGGTTTTATACATTTTAGGGAGACATTAGATATCAATCAACATATGTAAGAAGTAAACTGGTTCCATCCAGAAAGGCAGGGACAACTCTAAGCAAGGAGAGACCTTCCAGGTCACAGGTGGGTAAGAGACAAATGGTTACATTCTTCTGAGTTTCTGATAAGACTTTCCAAAGGAGGCAAACAGAATGTGCATCTATCTCAGTGAGCAGAGGGATGACTTTGAATAGAATGGGAGGCAGGTTTTCCCTGAGCAGTTTCCAGCTTGAGTTTTCTATTTAGCTTAGTGATTTTCAGGGCCCAAGATATTTTTCTTTCACAGTTGTGTACTGTCTACATGATAACTCTTTTCATAAGATTGCTTCATGTATTGGTGAATATTTAAATAAGGAAGGATCATTTTCCAATAATATCCCAGAACTTAATTACTGGGTGACACCAAGAACTTGCTCACTGGCTTCCTTATCTTCAGTCTCACTAATTCAGTCTCTTCTTAAAACCCCATCATCTCAGCCCAAAATCTCCTAAAGCTGATAGGCAAATTCAGCAAAGTCTCAGGATACAAAATCAATGTGTAAAAATCACAAGCATTCTTATACACCAATAACAGACAAACAGAACCAAATCATGAGTGAACTCCCATTCACAATTGCTTCAAAGAGAATAAAATACCTAGGAATCCAACTTACAAGGGATGTGAAGGACCTCTTCAAGGAGAACTACAAACCACTGCTCAAGGAAATAAAAGAGGATACAAACAAATAGAAGAACATTCCATGCTCATGGGTAGGAAGAATCAATATCATGAAAATGGCCATACTGCCCAAGGTAATTTATAGATTCAATGCCATCCCCATCAAGCTACCAATGACTTTTTTCACAGGATTGGAAAAGACTACTTTAAAGTTCATATGGAACCAAAAAAGAGCCCACATCACCAAGTCAATCCTAAGCCAAAAGAACAAAGCTGGAGGTATGCTACCTGAGTTCAAACTATACTATAAGGCTACAGTAACCAAAACAGCATGGTACTGGTACCAAAACAGAGATATAGAACAATGGAACAGAACAGAGCCCTCAGAAATAATGCTGCATATCTACAACCATCTGATCTTTGACAAATCTGACAAAAATAAGCAATGGGGAAAGAATTCCCTATTTAATAAATGGTGCTGGGAAAACTGGCTAGCCATATGTAGAAAGCTGAAACTGGATCCCTTCCTTACACCTTACACAAAAATTAATTCGAGATGGATTAAAGACTTACATGTCAGACCTAAAACCATAAAAACCCTAGAAGAAAACCTAGGCAATACCATTGAAGACATAGGCATGGGCAAGGACTTCATGTCTAAAACACCAAAAGCAATGGCAACAAAAGCCAAAATTGACAAATGAGATCTAATTAAACTGAAGAGCTTCTGCATAGCAAAAGAAACTACAATCAGAATGAACAGGCAACCTACAGAATGGGAGAACATTTTTGCAATCTACTCATCTGACAAAGGGCTAATATTCAGAATCTACAATGAACTCAAACAAATCTACAAGAAAAAAACAAATAGCCCCATCAAAAAGTGGGCGAAGGATATGAACAGACACTTCTCAAAAGAAGACATTTATGCAGCCAACAGACACATGAAAAAATGCTCATCATCCCTGGCCATTAGAGAAATGCAAATCAAAACCACAAGGAGATACCATCTCACACCAGTTAGAATGGCAATCATTAAAAAGTCAGGAAACAACAGGTGCTGGAGAAGATGTGGAGAAATAGGGACACTTTTACACTGTTGGTGGGACTGTAAACTAGTTCAACCATTGTGGAAGTCAGTGTGGTGATTCCTCAGGGATCTTGAACTAGAAATACCATTTGACCCAGCCATCCCATTACTGGGTATATACCCAAAGGATTATAAATCATGCTGCTATAAAGACACATGCACACTTATGTTTATTGTGGCACTATTCACAATAGCAAAGACTTGGAACCAAGCCAAATGTCCAACAATGATAGACTGGATAAAGAAAATGTGGCACATATACACCATGGAATACTATGCAGCCATAAAAAAGGATGAGTTCGTGTCCTTTGTAGGGACATGGATGAAGCTGGAAACTATCATTCTCAGCAAACTATTGCAAGGAGAAAAAACCAAACACCGCATATTCTCACTCATAGGTGGGAATTGAACAATGAGAACACATGGACACAGGAAGGGGAACATCACACACCAGGGCCTGTTGTGTGGTGGGGGGAGAGGGGAGGGGGATAGCATTAGGAGATGTATCTAATGTTAAATGACGAGTTGATTGGTGCAGCACGCCAACATGCCACATGTATACATATGTAACAAACCTGCACGTTGTGCACCTGTACCCTAAAACTTAAAGTATAATAAAAAAAAGAATTAAAAAAAAACAACAAAGTGTTATTTAAATAATGCTTTCATAAGATTGCTGCTAGATCAGAAGCTTTCAATGGCTCTATCTCACTTTCTGTTACAACTACATTTCTCGGCATGACTTTTAAGCCTCTCTTTACATTCTGGGCACCTTATTTACTCTTAATTATTATTCCCCACGTTGGTCTCTATGTTTTTATGAACAGGCCTCATATGTCCATTCCTCCACATCTTTAATAATGGTGTTCATTTGTCCTGGAGTCTCATCTTCTCTTTTGCTTATTCCTAACTATTCCAAGGAGAATGCAGGCACTAACAGCTTCTTGAAATCTTGTTTAAAGTACTCTTTAAGCACTTTCCTTAAATAGTTAGACAGAAATTATACAAAATATTTTGCTTAATTAGCTCAATGTTTCATTTATCTGATATTGCTGCAAATAATTCTTTTCACAAGAGTAAATTTTCTAGATAATGAAAGCACTGAAACTTCATTTTTGTATAATTTTGTATGAAATATTTTTATGAAGTACTATAAGCATCTCCACCTAATTAAAGAATATAGAACATACAACTATTAATAACTTAGAATCTTTATTATAAATATCAATTATTATTTTACGCTATGATACAGTATCGTCATCTCTGATAATCTGTGGGGATTGGTTTAGGATCCTTTGCAAATACTAGAATCTACAGATGCTCAAGTCCCTTATGTAATATTTGCAGTATGTACCTACACATCCTCCTGTGTACTTTAAATCATTTCTAGGTTACTTATAATACCTAGTATACTGTAAATGTTACATGAATAGTTGTTATACTGTATTGTTTTTAAAATTTGTATTTTTATTGTTGTTCTGTTATTTTTTATTTTTTCCCAAATATTTTTGATCCATGGTTTGTGGAATCCATGGATGTAGAACCCATGGATACAGAGGGCTGACTCTTCATACAGTTGGTATGTAAAATAATTTGCTCTATGAAAACATTCTTTTTCTGAGTTCACATTTTCTTCAGTTTCTTTTCTTAAAAAAATAGCATTCAAACGACACATTTACCTTTGTTATCTATATTTTTGCCTCTATCATAAATCATGTTTTCAATCTATCCTAACCCTTTTGGCGGGAATAGAACCTCCTGATTAGTAGCAAGTGCGCTGCAGAGCAGTCAAGGGAACACACCATCTTCATTTCTAGGCGGTTGAGCCTTGATCCACATCAGAATTATTTCTTACATTTTCTAACCCTCAGGTGTCCTTTTGTGCTATTGTGACAACCAAATAGAATGGAAGGGTGGATGAGAGAACATTTATTTTATTGACATCAACAAACTCATATATTTTTGAGACCTTTGATTTATTTGCCTGATTTCCAATTGGACCTGGACTTACTGTAAATTTACTATTGTTTCACAATATTTCATGTCTTTCTTTTTTCAATGTGATAGGAATATAAAAATGACTTTTGAACATTTGCTGTATAAGAGGTACATTGTAAGTAGTATATAATAATAATAATAATGCTTTATGCTTCTATCTGCTTCATATCGTAGGATTCTCATATATTACCAATTTAAGCCTCATAATCCTACTACAAAGTAATTTCTGATACACTGGTTTTACAGATCAATAAAAGCAAGTTGAGAGAGAAAAAGAGAGGGAGGGAGAGTGAGGGAGAGAAATAGAGAGAGAGAAGTTAAGCTTCTGCTAAGTGGGTTTCAAAGTAGTCTTCTGACCCCTACTCCAGTATCTGCTTCACTACTACTTACTCTTTTGAGTGAGTTCTTGTGCTATACTTCTAAGTAGGCTTTTTGCCTACTTAAAATGGGTAAAATGAACTCAAAATACTACATCAGAATGTGATAAGTGCTCTGTGGAGGTGTAGCAGTGTGGTGGAAATCTGAAGGGTGTAGAGTGAGTGTGTGTGTGTGTGTGTGTGTGTGTGTGTGTATGTGGGTGTGTGTATCTGGGTGCTTGCCCAAATCAAAACAGAAGAAGATCATTGACATTTGTTAGGAAGATGTATCTTATGAAATAGCCCTTGGTATGTGTACTATTTGGAAAATACAGATACGGTGGAATAAGACGGCAGACAAAGCCATGGGTTGGGGAATCGAGTGAGGTTTGACTGATAGAAAGTGCACATGTAAGATTTTTGGGGGATATGTTGGGGTTTGTGGAATATATCAAGGAGGGCCTTGAATACCATGTTAAGGATTGTGTCCTTAAAACTGTTTCTCATTTGTGGGGATTTGGTTTGCTTCTGAGGGGTGAGTGCAATATAATGTTACAATGTAATAAATCTATTTTTTCTTGGTTAAGGAAATGTTGGGATGAACTTGTAAGCATTTTGTATAAGAGACTGACCTTGATTAAATTGCTCTTATGGTGCTCCAGGCAGCATTTGTCTATATGCTCTCTTGTGGGGAGTGTGGAAGATCTTGATATTTGTGTGATCCAGAGCTCTTTTATCCACTCCAAATACGCACTTTTAAAAATAGTCACTGGGGAAGAGTTAAGTCATGCTATAAAGGCCCCTCACTGGGATTTTAATTAAAGACAATGTATTTACACTCAGAGAAGAAGATTATTAGAAGCTATTAATAACACAATTTCAACTTCATAGGAAGAGTTTTATAATTTTCAATAACTCCTCTTTAATATTGGTGAAGTTTATGTTATTTTCACTTTCTTTTTATTTTTGCCTAAAGTTTTGGTAATGCTTTTTTCTTCTTTTAAATGGTGATTATATTGAGCAACTAATTACTTAAAAAACTTGTGTCTTCAAGACAAATCATTAAAGTCAGATACGTGACTGGCTGCTTGGTTGATCAGTTAACACAGGTAAAATGAACTGTTTAGTCCCTTACAAAAAAAAGCTATGATATCTAAAACATAACTAAGCCTTCTTTTTCTATTTCAATGAGTTCTCTTGGTTTTCTTTGCCTTATCTTTCCACAAGATTTAGGATTAAGTAATTCCCAGTGAAAAAACAGAAGCAAAATCACTCCATCCCTCAAAGAATTCATGTGAAAACTGGTAGTAAGATGAAGTAAAATATACTAGGGAAGAACCAATTTTGGCATTGCAAAAGCCACCCATGAGATAGTGAACATTTTCCTGCTATACTGAGTTCAAGATGAAAAGATACTCTTAAAATATTTTGATGCAATTTTTAAAAAATTTCAGCTACTGAAGCTTTTAAAGTTATTTTCATGCACTGAATTAAAAATTTAGAAATATATAAGTAGGCTTTTATGAACTAAAAATAAAATGTGTTACATTTCATTTAGTGGAACACTTTCATAATAAGTTTTCCCAATTGGAATAAACTTTTTGAAGGTCAACTATTTCTTTTGAATGTGATTGGGTTTAGTTCTATTGGTGTCTAATATTTCTAGGCTTTAGTGGCAATATCAAGAAGCTTGATTTCCTATATATCACTTTAAATTTTGAGCCATGGCTTTTATTTTTTCTAAGAGCTAAAATCAGAAAATATATGATATGCTTATATAGTGCCATCTATCCCTATTTAAGAAGATTTACACAAAAGCTATTTTTTCTTATTATTATAGCCAAAAGCACTATGTTTATATTATTTGCAAACAAGAAATTATACCCATATTGTGATGTAAATTCATAGTATGGTTTTATTAATCTGTATTTTTCCAACAAATAGTTTTTCTTGAAAGTAATGTTTATCTTAATTTTTTTATATTTTATACATATTCAGTAAAATATATATGTTTAAACATTGTTTCTCTAGTTCCTTGCAAATATTATAAAATGACATTTCTGAATTTTTATATTCCATCAATTCAATGAATGACCACCAATTTGTATCTCCGAACTGAATTACTCTCCTGAGCTCCAGATTCACACATCCAACTTCTTATTTGATATCTTCACTTGAAGGTCTAATAGGTATTTCAAGTTTAGTGTGTTCAAATAGAAGTAGAGACTCTCTGGTCTCTCCTACCCCAACCCCAAATCTAATTTCCTCTAAGCCACTATATCTCAATAAATTACACCAATTGCTCAATCAAAAAAAAAAAAGGGAAAAAATAAGTCATTTTGACACTTCTCTCATTCTTGCAACCAATATGTCAGTAAACTCTACCTGTGCCCACAAATAACTGTATTCAAAATCTGACAATTTTTCTTAATTTACCTTGTTACAATCTAATTGAACAACTAAAATTTTACCCTGAGTTCTGCATTAGCCTCCTGACTAGTCTCTTTGACTGAATGCTCATAATAGCTTAGCTTCCACACAACAGGCAAGTGATCCTTCAGAATAACAATCAGATTGTGTTGCTCTTCTGCTTAAAATGTCCAGTGGCTTCTCACTGTACATGAAAGATCATTTTAAAAATTATTATATGAAGCCTGCACCAAAGAATGCTAACACTTACCAATATCCTGTTTTTTTTTTTTTTTTTATCTTCTTCATGGGCACACAGCTAAATTACATTTCCCATCCTCCTCATCTTTCATGTGGACCAAGTTTGGGCAATGGAATGTAAGCAGAAGTAGTGGACATCACTTCCAGGCCTGTCTCATAAAACTCTCCCAGCTAGGATCCTCCTGTCTCTTTCCTATTGTGTGGCAGAATTGGAGAGCGTATATTAAACATGATATTCCCACAAGATGAAAGGATGGTGGGGTCTTCATTGCCTTCCTGGAGCAAACCTCTCACCCCAGACAATTCTTATTGGAATGTGACATGCGTAAGAAATAAATCTTGGTTTGTTAGGCTAAAGTTTTAGGGCCTATGTGATGGGCCCCTGTCCATCTCTCCAACCTCATCTGTTTATACGCTCCCCTTTCACACTAGGCCTCCATTACTTTGGATACACACAGATCTGAACTTTTGCACTTGCTATCCTTTTGCTTGGATCCATCTTTTCCCCAGATCAAAGCATGACTCCTTTCTTCTCTTCAATTGGGTATCAACTCACATGCCATTTTCTTCAAAGAGCCCTTCCCTGACCTCCCTATCTAAAACAGAGTCCCACAGTGGCCACTTTCTATGACATTATACTAAGACATCTTCCCAGCAATTAACAGTACCTAAAATTGTCTTAATGTGTTCTATTTTTGATCCTATCTTCCTAGAATATCAGCTCAGTAAGAAGAGGGATTATTTATCTTCACTGTTATAGCCTAAAACAGTGTTTGGCATGTAGTGGGCACTCAATATGTATTTGTTAGCTGACTGACTAGTGTGCTATTTGAAGACTGGCATTGTATCCTATAGCTCGATGTACATAGAGCATATGAACCAAAATATTTTTAATATAATGTCTTACTAAATTGCAGGTAAGTAAGGTATTACAGAAAGGCTTAGGATTTGGAGACAGAAAGGCTCAAGTTTTGAACCTCTTGTGTGATTCTGAGAACTCTATCTTTTTGAGTCTGTATTTCTGAAATTTCCACAATGGAAATACAACAGTATATGCCTTATTCTTATGGCAATCTCATGAGATAGAGTATTTGTGAATAAACAATATAAATTATACATAAACAATATAAACTCTATAAACTATATAGAGTTCATATTAATAAGAATTAAGGCCACAAGGCTATTTTTAAACATGTGCAAAATACTTTGTGTGTAGATAGCTGTGTGTCTAAATACTTTGTGAGTAGACAATGCTGATAAATGATACTCATACTAATTAAAAATATTTTTACATGTTACTAAAATGCAAGGTGCTCTGAGATGCATAACATTCCGTCTTAGTCATCAGTTTCAGGACTTCAAAATAAATCGCTTTCCATTCAACATGTAGTTCTATAGCTACAGATTTTCTTTAACATGGTGTACTATTATCTGGTGAGCATGAATTAAGCAAATGTTGATATATGTGTGAAAATAAGAATTTTTGTTCTGGTATAAATGAGAAGTATCTCTTCAGTAATTCTACTTAGCACTGTTTTGAGAGATCCAGGCTCAAATTGCCCTTAATTTGCCTAAAATCTCTCCAGACTCACCAAGCTGGGAACAAAGAAGTGTTGTGATAATAAATATTTATTGTTCACAAGCACGTGTCACAATCAAGCTGTTATCTGTGTGCACTTTTACCAGGAAACAAAACATAACAGACAGAAAATACAATGCTTGTAAAATTTATGTGAGAAATGTTCTGGGGGAAATTAGGCTTGGTTGCTGTTTAACATCATTTTTGGAAAAGAGAAAGACATGCCCCTTGAACCAGCCTCAGAGAGGAAATGAGTTATGATTGGCTATTACCACCACTCCTAGTTCTACTTCAAAGTGTGCAAAACAGTGGTCAGAATATCTCTTGCCTTTGAAGAAGTCCCTAGTTGTAGGCAGTCCTCTCTGTGTCTGCACCCTATGACCAGTGTGGGCCATGCCAGCTCAGAGTTAGGACTGGAGGGGTCCCAGCTCCTCAGAATTTTCCCTCTTCAGCAGAGGGCTGAAATGCAATGTGACATATATCACAATTGATTTTTTTTAAAGCATTGCCCTCAGGGAAGAAATACAGGAAAGAGTAGAATATTTCTTTGACTGTTTCTGTCTCCTGGTATGTTAAAACATCCATCTATTACTTATTAAAAGTGATCAAAATAGGCCTAACCCTGAAAAGAGATCATGTCTGAGTTTGACAAAGCCCTAAAACAAAGTAGTTTTAAAATGCCATAATGCAAGTTTTCACAAAACAAGTGTTAGCAGCTTTGTCTCACTCTGGAATACTAGCAAAAGGAAATTTGCTTGATCTTTGTTAATGAAATCTATAAATCAAAGAACATTTGAATAGAGACCTAGGAGAGCACTTCTATTAATGTTCTATGATTCTTATTTAAAAGAGCATAAGGGAACCTGAGAGGTTTTGTGCCGGCATGGAATTGAAATGCATTATTGCTTACCAATGAGCACATATAGAAGGTTTTTTTCATAAATTGGATTCCAGCTAACCTAATACCCTGATATTAAAAGGCTTTTACCTTATGAATGCGCATTATTAGCAAACTTTATGGTACTAAGTATATTGCATTTATATGTCTAGTGGGGCCTGATCCAGCCTTTGAAAATTGTGCTTAATTAAACACTAGTGCCCTATCGAACATGCTTATTCTGGAATGAGGGAGAGAATAAGATCATATCAGCCATTGCTGTGGATATGATATAGATTAGATATAAGCATTTGTTTATGCTTAGTTTTGAGCAAAGACAACCTACCATGACTAATTTGACCCTGTTTATTTCATATTTGACAGTTTTTGCTGCATTGAAACTATATTTTATCGGAAAAAGACAAATAAAAGTGGTCTCAAATGCCAGCTTCTAGGATAAATCCCATAGAAACTTTGGAAGATGTTGTATATGTGCATGATAATAAAATTTAGATGGTATAGTAGATGTAAGATGAAAATTAAAAACGTACCCTCCCATTTCCATTCAGGTCCTAAACCCAAAGTTTACTATGTTTGAAATCTTGGTGTATAAATCTACAAAAACATTGTATACCTGAATATATCCATATATGAATACATCCTTATATATCCATAGGAAAATGTTTTCAAAATTGTTCATGAAGGGAAGGATACATTAACAGTATATTACACTTGATTTTTTTCATCTTAGTTCACCTTGGAGATCTTTCCTTAGCAACGAATACAGATCTACCTCAATCTTTTCAATGTGTGCAAATTCTATTGTACGAATGGGTAATAATCTATTTAATCAGCCTCTTTATTGATGGACATTTTTTTTGCTAGTATGAATCATGTGGCTCCAAATACCCAGGCTTATATCTTCAGCAAGTATATACATACAATAAATTCACCAAAGTTGAATTGCTGAGTCAAAGGGCAGGTACAGTTTAAATTCTGGTGATTTTGCCAAATTATACTATAAAAGTTTGTAGCTAGTTTGGAGTCTCACCAATGGTATCCAAGAGTGACTCATTTTTCGCTCTTACCAAAAGTAGCTTTTAGTTTCTGGTCATATATAATAGCAAACTTAGAGGTTTGGGCAAGTATAACCTGACTGGTGAAATTTTGCAAGGTAAACTAATAGAAAAGAAAGCAATATTCTTTTCTCCACATATCTGTGAATGAAGTTATAGGGTTCACAGGATTTCAAAGCAGAATTAAAGAGTTTATCTCTATCATCATTCAAAGCTAGTAAATGCATGCAATCCCAAGTTAGCCTCTGGTTGTATGGCAGTTTGTCTTCCTGGCAGCATGAAGATGTGAATGTTTCTTTAGTTAGTCTCAGGAGAAACTTTTTTTGGTGTCTGTTACGATTTTTGTTAGTCAATTAATTTTTACTTATTATTAGGCTGGCACAAAAGTAATGGCAAAAACTGCAATTACTTTTGTGCCAACTTAGTACTTTTCTTAATCTTTTGCTGTAAAGGAAAACCTTGGTTACCAAAGCTAGTAATGTTTGATATATTTCCTAGTCTTTTCACGATAAAATATTTAGCAAAATAAGAATAACTCTGTCTATTCCAGTGGCCATGAAATAAAAAAAGGGCTTTCCAAAAATTTATTTTACCCTTTAGTTTCATTTATTTTATTATTTTAAACTGGGCATAAAACCTTTCTCTCAAAATTGAGTGGTTTTTGGATTGCTCCTTTAACCACACCTCTCTTCATTGAGGAATCTGGTTCTGGATGGTCATATAGTCACACTGTGATTTTTCATCCCCGGAAGATTTTGTTTGTTTTAATTTTTATTATTATTTTTGTTTTTATTTAATTATTGGGAAAACAGTAGCAATTATCACTGTGACCTTTTTCTTCTCAAAGGTTTTTGCTAAATTCAGGGAACTAATGGAATATAAAGTGATTTCTTCTTAAGCCAAAATGTCTTTCAGAATCATTTTTGTCTCAAAACGTGATGTTAAAAGTTTCGGTTTTGCGCGGTGGCTCATGCCTGTCATCCTAGCACTTTGGGAGGCTGAGGCAGGAGGATGACGAGGTCAGGAGTTCGAGACCAGCCTGACTAACATTGTGAAACTCCATCTGTACTAAAAATACAAAAATTAGCCTGGCGTGGTGCCACACACCGGTAATCCCAGCTACTCAGGAGGCTGAGGCAGGAGAATCGCTTAAATCCGGGAGGCGGAGGTTGCAGTGAGCTGAGATCGTGCCATCGCACCTCCAGCCTGGGCGACAGAGAAGAGACTCTTTCTAAAAAAAAGAAAAAAAAAGTTTCATTTAAGATTTTCTCTTTACTTGGAGAAGACTGCTTTCATGAAAGCATTTGCATTTCAATCACTTGGAGGGTTGGCTATAAGAACAATCTTTTGTTCATAGTTAATTTTGGTGGGTTCTTTCATTAGCTGTTATCTAGACAGGCATTTCCACTTGGTTGGCTTCTATCTCTTCTCTTATCTGGTCTTTCATTAGGCCTGGTTGACCTGAATTAACTCTGTTCTGTCTTTTATTTCACACTGGCTCCCATGGCTCCCTCTGTCAGTTTGTGTTGGCAGTGGGCATTCATTCTGTTCTTGGCAGAGTTCCCCAAGTTCCCCTTGTGGTATGGTGCTCATATCTTCTGATGACAATGTTGAATCTCCTTTATCTATTCAGCTACTCTTTAGTCAACCTTCACTTCAGTCCAACACACATTTTACTTTTTATTTATTGACAAGTGATTAATTTTATGGCAGGAACTTCTTTTTTATTTTTATTTTTTCATTCTGAAAGTCAGTTCTAGTGTTGAAATAAATAAAATGACAAAGCTGCAAATAGTTAAATCTTTATATTTTCTGACATCTTTTGTATGCATCAAGTTTAGTGCCAGAGCTAGTCTTCGACAAAATAAAGTGAAGCTAAAAAATACTGTGTCCTCTCCTAGAAATAATATTTCCTCTAAATATCCGATACTTGTTTTTAAACAGTTATTTTGCTTCTGCACTGGGATCTTTTTATAAAAACTCATCTATATCTATCTATCATCTATCAAAATTCAACATAAGATGACTCTGGCTTTAATCTCATTCCAAACAATTTGCTTAGTGAAACTCTAAAAAAATTTTTTTTTATATCAGTCTCTTCTATAAAGTGACTTAATTTTACTAGAATTTGAGTACCAATCATGTCACTTAGCAGATAATTGACCTTGTGTAAACCACTTAACCTTGAGTTCTCAATTTTCTTATCCCAAAAATGGGCTTTTGAAAGCCACGAATTAAATAATATATATGAAAGTGCTTTAAAAATAGATGTGCTATATAAGTATTAAGTATTATTATTATAATTATTTGGGGGCAGATAATAGAGCTTAGAATTTTATGTCCTTAAATATCTCTTAAAAACCACTGGCAAGCTTGCAATTGGAAACACATTTGCCTGTGTAAATTCTCCAGATCTTTCAAGCCCTTCTAGGACTTTTAACTTTATTCAGAGACCAATGATAAGCTGCTGAGAGATTTTAAACCAGAGAGTGACATAAGTGTGCCTAAGCTTTTGAAAGGTCACTCAGGCTGTCATGTGAAAATGGAATCAGAGGTGATGAGAGTGGTGGCAGATGGAGTGAGGAGATCATATAGGAGGCTGTTAGAGTGATCACACAAGGGGATAATGACATTTCGAATTTAGAAGGAAATAGCAGCAAAGATTGATGAAGCGTAAGCTTTGCCAAATTTTGAGGAGGTGGAATCAACTAGAAGAGGAAGAAGAGTTAAATTGGTTTTTGCTTGATCAGCTAGCAGGAATTTTGTGACTTTATCTGGTGATAGAAAACACTGGAGGGTTACAGTTAGCAGGATTTTGCTGCTTTTTACTAGGATGGAAAACATGGAAGTGTGGCTATTTAGCTGGCAGAATTTTGCTGCTTTTCATGGAGATAGGAAACACAGAGGAGGAAAACATTTGTGGCAGCAATTATTGGTTCATTTTTGCATAAGTGGTGGTTGAGATATTTAAGCAGATTAATGTCCTTGCAATTATATATACTTTTCTGAAACTCAGGAGTACACTGAACTAGTAGTAGTAATTAAGGCCATGGGAATAAATGAGGTTATTAGGGAGAGAGTTTGTAGACTAAAAACAGAAGTTATGAGAAGAAGTTATGAGAATATCAACTTTTAAGCAATGAACAGAAGATGTCCATTCTCTGCCCATCCCATCTGAAAAAAAAAAGCAGCAAAGACCTTAAAAAGCATGGCACTGTCTATATCAAGGGAAGATAGAATTTCACATAGGAGGGAGTGCTCAACAGTGTTACATGATTTAGAGGCATCAAATAAGATGAGAACTGCATAGTGTCTGTTGGATTCACCAGAATGGATATCTTGGTCAAAACAGTTAGAACTACATGAAGTGATGGTAGAAACTGCACATCAGTGGATGGAGAAGTAAATGGGAAGAGAGGAGTAGGAGACAAAAAGAGTGGACAACGTTTTCAAAGACTGTGGCTGTTATGTAGTATGTGCTTATTTTTTAAATGAAAGTAAATGAGAAAAGGCAGTTGTGGAGGGAGATATAGGATCCTTTTATTTTTGCACAGCAGAACTCTGAGCATGTTTAAATTTTCTTTGAATGAATGATAGAACAAGAGTAAACAAAACTATAGGGAAATGAACAAAAGGATAAATAATGAGGGAGGCTCCTGAGGAGGCAGGTGTGGGTGTATCTAGAGCACTGGGGGAGGCGTTAGATTTGGGAATCTGATTCTTCTCTCTGACAGGAAGAAAGGAAAAAGAATAGGTGAAGTTGCAAAGAATTGAAGGTTTCCTTCTGCAGCTTGTAGTTTTTTCTTTGTAGGTGGAGGGAAGGCTATTTGCTGAATGATGAGTTGGTGGAGTTTGAAAATAATGGAGAGATTTCAAGTACATATTTTGCAGAATTAATGAGAAAGCTAAGGAAGGAAACATGAAAAAGGTTGTCTAATTTACATTTGCACCAACAGTGCATAAGGGTTTTCTTTTCCCCACACTCTCATCAACACTTGTTATTTCTTGTCTTTTTGATAATAGCCACAGGAGCGAGCTGAAATCTCATTATGGTTTTGATTTGCACTTCCCTGATGGTTAGTGATTTTGAGCACCTTTTCATATACCTGTTGGCCATTTGTATATTTTCTTTGAAGAAATGTCTCTTCAGGTCCTTTGCCTATTTTAAAATTAGGTTATTATTATTTTGTTGCTATTGAGTTGCATGAGTTCTTTACATATTATGGATATTAATACCTTATTAGATGCATGGTTTGCAAATATTTTCTCGTGTTCCTCAGGTTGTCTCTTTATTCTGCTTGTTGTGCAGAAGAGTTTTAGTTTTATGCCATTCTATTTGTCAATTTTTACTTTTGTTGCTTGTGCTTTTGGTGTCATACCCAAACAATCACTGCCCAGACCAATATCAAGAAGTATTTCCTCTGATTTCTTCTTGTAGTTTTATAGCTTCAGATATTACATTCAGGTTTTTAATTAATTTTGAGTTTATTTTTGTAGATAGTGTGAAATACGGTTCAATTTTATTCCTTTGTAGGTAAATATCCAGTTTTCCCAACACTGTTATTGAAGAGACTATCTTTTCCCTATTATATCTTCTTGGAAAGCAGTATGAAGGTTCCTCAAAGAATTAAAAATAGAAATACTTTATGATCCAGTAATCCCACTTCTGGGTATATATTTTAAAAAGGAAAAAGAAATCAAGATCTTAAAGATATGTGCACTCTCATGCTCATTTCTGCATTATTCATAATAGTCAAGATATGGAAACAACCTAATGTCTACTATGGATGAATGGGTAAATAAATGTGATATACCTGCATGCACATGCATGCACACACGCACACCCCTATGGAATATTATTCAACCTTAAAAAAGAAGGAAATCTTGTCATTTTCAAAAATATAGATGAACCTTGAGGACATGATGCTAAGTAAAGTAAGCCAGACACAGAAGGACAAATATTGTATGATCTCACTTGTATGTAGACTCCAAAAATGTCACACCCATAGAAACAGAGAGTAGAATGGTGGTGCCAGAGGATGGGGGGAGGAGGATATGGGGAGATGTTGGTCAAGGGGTACAGAATTTCACTTATGCTAGTTAAATAAGCTCTGGATAGCTAATGTATAACAATGTGAACTATAGTTAATACTATTGTATCCTTGAAATTTGCTAAGAGGGTAGATCTTAAGTGTTCTCAACACACAAAATTATAACTATGTGAGGTGATATGTTCATTTGCTTGACTGTGGCAAACATTTCATAATATATGTGTATATAAAAATCACGAAGTTGTAAACCTTAAATAGATACATTCTAAATTGCCAACTATAGCTCAGTAAAGTTGGGGAAAAAAAGATCAAGCAGCAAGTAGCAGTTTGCCAACAATGGAGATATAAAATGTGTTGTGATATCAATGTGCCAATTTGCGTAATTTTTGCTTGAGGTGTCTCTTAGTCTGGGTGCAGGCATAGAGAAAATAAGAGTTTGTGAATTGATCCTGTACTGGCATTTAGTTAAGAAAAACTGATGGAAGAAAAACAAAAGATGTTTTACAGACACTGGCAAGAGAGTGGTTGATATGGGGGACCACGGAGTCTAGGGAAAATAGAACAGGAAGTGAAGGCTGAAGATTAGAGAGGCTCCCTTTGAAAGGATTAAGGACTAGTGGTCTCAGAAAGGTAAAAGAATAAATGCTGTGGACATAGCTATATGAGAGATTCTGGAGGAAAGAGTTTGTGTGTGGAGAAATGAATGTTTTGATTCAGGAAGTCTATGGTGGGTCAGTATTGAGTGAGTGAACCAGATTAAGAATAAGGTCGGCCGGGCGCGGTGGCTCACGCCTGTAATCCCAGCACTTTGGGAGGCTGAGGCGGGCGGATCACGAGGTCAGGAGATCGAGACCATCCCGGCTAAAACGGTGAAACCCCGTCTCTACTAAAAATACAAAAAATTAGCCGGGCGTAGTGGCGGGCGCCTGTAGTCCCAGCTACTTGGGAGGCTGAGGCAGGAGAATGGCGTGAACCCGGGAGGCGGAGCTTGCAGTGAGCCGAGATTGCGCCACTGCACTCCAGCCTGGGCGACAGAGCGAGACTCCGTCTCAAAAAAAAAAAAAAAAAAAAAAAAAGAATAAGGTCCAGGATGTGGCTGTTGGAGTTAAGATGAAGTTTATGTCACTGGAACTGAAGATGTTAAGAAATGAAGTTACTAAAGTGATTGACTAAGAAATCCTTTCCTTGTTAGATCCACCGAGAATGATGGCAATGCTTGAGACATAGAGGAAGACTGAGATCTTAAGTCTCAAATTTTTATTGTATAAGAGAAAGTTGCCAGGCAGTTAAAGGATGCACAGAATTGGAGAGAAAAATGATGGTATAATACAAAGTGAAACAAGTGACAGCCTGGGGTCAAAAACTGGATCACCAGTGTCTTTTATTTGGCCCGCACTGTGTTTTAAAAGTTAGATTAAATGACCATAATGAAAATATGTGAGTTTGCACACACACACACACACACACACACACACACACACACACTCTACATTTCTAGCTCTACTTACAAGTTAGAACAATCTGATGACAAGGAGCACAGATTCTCCTAACCAAGAATGGTGTGAGGTAGGTGCTCAATAAAAATTTGAATGAATTAAAGATCAATTTAGCATTTAATAACTATTTTTCTCCTTTCTTTGCCAATAGTAGAAATATGTATTAAAATTTAAGATTTAGGAGAATGATCAAATTGCATCAATATAAAACAGGATATGAGATAGGGTCTGCTGAAATATAAGTATAATTTTAAGAATATAGTATTTCATGGTAATAAATATTTTTTATTTTTTTTAACAGACAGTTATGGGGCTTAAGTCGAAAGACTTGTTCCTTCCGTGCCTTTGATGATATTCTTCCAAAGGTGATTTTGTGCCTTTAACTAGATTATTAGCTGTAAGAGTGATGAGGGAGTAAGAGAGAGCTCTGCCTGATCGTTTGAGCTGAGACATTGGGTCTTTTCCTTCCTTTGGATTTGAACTGAAATCAGCTCTGCTTGGGTTTCAACCTTGCTGGCTTTCAGACAGAAACTGCACTATTGACCCTCCTGGTTCTTCAGCTTCTTGACCACAAGTCTTGTGACTTAGCCTCCATAATCATGTGAACCAATTCATTATAAAAGCTATCTATCTATCTATCTATCTATCTATCTATCTATCTATCTATCTATCTTATTTACCTATGATATCCTATTGGTTCTTTCTCTCTGGAGAACTTGTGTACAGATGCCACATGAATATAAAGTGCTCTTTAAAATTTGATCTTTTTTTGGAATGGAGGGCAGGGGAAAGCAGGTATCTGTGAAAACAGAGCCTTAACATAGGTGCTATTTTAAATTTTACAGAACCAGTTGTCAGTGTCTTGAGTGCTCCATATTAAATGGGACTGTATAGTAGATGCAGTAGATGCTCACATTTTAAATTTTAACTTTGATTTATTCATTTGATAATATAGAGATAACTTTTTTTATGTTCTAAAGATTTACTATTTATTAATCTAGTTAGTGTGCCTCATTGTAAATGATTGCTTCAGATAAATTATTAGAAAATTATTTGGATAAAAGCCATATTGTCTCCTTCTCAATCTGTCAAATATTTATGCTTCTTCTATGAATTATGCCAAACATGAAATTTAGAATTCAGGTTAAAGAGCTTTATTTCTTTTTGCATCAGATGTACATGAAACTATAATGTCTTTCTTAAGAAGTTTTTTGATCTTTTATGATATTAATCTCAGCACTTTCAGCAAAGGCTTTGCAGTATAATTTATTGATAAAGGTATTTATTTAGTGATAGGTGGTCCGATAAATTTGAGATCTGAGAATCAATCCTAATATAAGCCTTTCTGTGAATGAGAATGCTTTATAATGCTTTCGATAAGTCAAGTCTTTTTCTTAAATATCTCCACAAATTTCAAGTTGTATGGATTCTTTCAGGCCTATGTGGTTTATTAGTACATTGAACAGTACGTTAACTAATGACATCTCAAACACAAATTTAAAGGGATTATGGTGCTTTTGAGAACTCTGTGTTTTACTTTTCTTTTTGTTTTTGGTCCTGCAAGAAGACACATCCATTTGTTACTTGGTAGAAAAAAAAAATGATGCAAGAGTACAGAAAATATGTTTCCAGATTTTAAACAACATATTAGATGAAGATTTCTCTTCAGTTCTCCTGTTTTTTTTTCTGTAACTTAAAATAAAAAAGTTAGCTCCAATCATATACTTTGAGAGGTACATTTGACCCTAAGTTTTACTTTAGCTCATGCTTGTGTTTGAGTGTTTGCTCATACTTTGTGCTGCTAGTTGCTGAACTGCTGGTGGAGACCATCTTAAGCTTTGAGAAACATATGTCTTGTTATTCACATGTACTTTTAACTTGAAAAAGCTGTTTTTTTTAATTCCTCAGACACACCCTAAAATAATATCCATGGCTGCCAAATTATAATTAATAGGTAGCAGTGAGGTGTTTTGAGGTGTTATAAAAGGAACATTTTTAATAGAGCTATCCTTAGGTTGTGTAGGGCTTTATGTGTTATGGACTGAATTGTTGTTCTCCAAAATTCATATTTTGAAGACCTAACCTCCAGTGTGGCTGCCTTTGGAGATAGAACTTTTAAAGAGGTGATTAAGATTAAATGAGTCAGTAGGATGAGGCCCTAATCCAGTAAGACAGATATCTTTATAAGAAGAGACAGAGACACCTGTCCCATACACACCCAGAGAAAGGCTGGGTGAGGACACAGCCGAAGGCCATCTGCAAGCAGAGGAGAGAGGCCTTAGGAGAAACCAAACATGCCAACACCTTGGTCTTGGAATTCCAGCTTCCACATCTGTGAGAAAATAAATTTCTGTTGTTTCGGATACCCAGTGTGTCATATTTTTGTTAGGGCAACCTGTGCAAACTGAGACAGTAGGCAAATATTTGTTATGAACCATCTCTTCAGATGAAATGTAGTGTTCCTGGTTACTTTCATTTCTTACCAGGAGAAAGAGGTAGCAAAGTTGTTGTTACTCACAATGTCATGGCTCTGTTTACTTCGAAACATTAGAGATCTTTTTGCCTCTGTAATTTCCTGATGCCATCTATTTAATGCTGGTTACATCATCACTCATGATGCTGCACCATTCATCATTCCACCTATAAATACTGACTTCCCACGATTCTCTGAAGGTTGACACTGTGCTTCCTTGGTAATTACCATAAATGCAAGGCTCACTCAGATTGTGCAGGAAAATGTGAAACATATGTCATTCATTTTCTGGACATGCTAAATTTATCTTTCAAGAGCTTGTAGAGTAAACATAGAACAACGCATCCTCCAACCATATCTTCTCTCCAACTCTTTAGGTGGCAATCACAACATTCCTAGAGTGTGATCTTTGTCAATGATGACCTCACTCCTGTCTTCCCTACACTGCCACCAGCGAAAGAATAGCTGAGGTGCTATAAAGAGCAGTCCCAGATGTAAGAAATGTTTGTCCTTCATCTGGCATGACTTAAGACCTGCAGGAGATAACATCACTGTGATTGGAAGTAAGAGAAGACATTAATAAGGTTTTGTTAGGGATGGGGAGCAACAGTCTCAAAAAGCTTCAGTGGGGATAGACACAACATTTGTGCTGCAGGCTGAGGAGAGGGTGACGTGTCCACCTTTGTTGCCATGTGGGTGTGGGGGGCACAGAGTAAGTAATGCCTGCCACCACCTCTATCGCCCCTGGGTACTACAGATAGAGGTGGCAACATCATTGGAACATGCTGGTAAGAATGGATGTACAGAAGGCAGGAGTTGCTCAAATCTGAAGCTTGGTATAGACTGTAGGTATCCTATATTCCAGAACTTGTCTATTTTAAAATCTGAGCAAGACATCCCAAATCATGTGCCATGGCAGTCACTGGGAGGAATTCTGAAACAGAGGCCATCCATAGAGATGTGAGATGACACTAAATGTATGAGTCCCAGAGGTCCTCTGGTCAACTCCAGGCTGTAGAGGGGACAAGAGTCCCAAAGAAGAGAAGCAAGGACTAGGGTTCCCATAGTTCCTTGTCTAATCTGGGTGGCCTCCTGCTTTGATGTTCCTGCTAGCATCAGCCAGTCCCTGACAACCAAAGAGAGCTTAGAGAACTTCAAGGCATGGCCAGCACGGTGGCTTACACCTGTAATCCCAGCACCTTGGGAGTCCGAGGCAGGTGGATCACCTGAGGTCAGGAGTTCAAGACCAGCTTGGCTAACACGATGAAAATAAAAATACAAAAAAAAATTAGCCAGGTGTGGTATATTAAATGAAATTAGCCATGCCTGTAGTCCCAGGTACTTGGGAGGCTGAGGCAGGAAAATTGCTTGAACCCGGGAGGTGAGGGTTGTAGCGAGCTGAGATTGTGCCACTGCACTCCAGCCTGAGTGGCTGAGTGAGACTCCATCTCAAAACAAACAAACAAACAAGCAACTTCAAGACACTACAAAGCTCTGGGACTCCTGAGACAGTGTTTAAGTAGGTTACTGGCCTTTATCACCATGCAAATGGTAGTTTATGTTTCCCAATTGGTCAACCAGATTGCCCCCCTTTTACATTATTCTGTTCATTTTACTCTTCACGAATATTTTATCAGCACCACCAACTCCTCCCCAAATTACTAAGGTTTCAAACTAGAATTTACGCATTAAAACTTCTCTCCAGCAGCCTGAAGTCAAGCAATTGAGGTTTGACTTGATAACAGCATTTTTTTCTCTTACAAATTTGTCATCCTTCTACATTTTCCCCTTTATTCTGTGAACTAGAAAATACCAGTATTGTTACCGATGGAAGAGATCTGAGTTACCCCAAGTTACTGGTGATGAATCCATATGCATCTGTGGCAACTTCAATTTTTTTTCCTCCTCCTCAGAAGAAATTTGACTGAGGGGCATGAAGCAGAAAAAGAGACTGAGGCAAGTTTCACAGCAGGAGTGGAAGTTTATTTAAAAGATCTTAGAACAGGAAAGGAAGGAAAATTCACTTGACAGAGACCCAAGATGACATGTGAAGGTTAAAGAGAGAGAAGTTCAAGTGTGACATTTAACCTTGATTCTAGGACTTTATAGACTGGCCTCCTTCCCATGATTCTTCCCTTACGGTGGGCTGCCCACATGCACAGTGCCCTCCTTACCCTTGGGAAGTGAACAAGTGCATTGTGTTTAGGAAGTTGTACATATGCCCATCTGAGGCTTTCTTCCTTTTTCCAGTAGAGTGACCCTGGAATATCATACTCTGCCATTTTGTCTCTTAACGTGCATGCCCAGGAAGTTCCTTCTCCCTGGCTTCTGCTTTCAATGAACACTTTAGTGCAGTAGTTGTGGACCATCAGGAAATGGCTTCTCCCTGGCACTGGCTCCCAATTTATCACTTTTACAGAGGCAATGTGATAACTGCCGAACGATCACCCAACATTTCTTGTGGGTTGGGAGAGCCCTCTCCTGCCCCACTTATGCCTAACTACCTACTGTAACAGTATTAACATTTATTTAATATTTAGTAAAGTTTACAGAAAGATGAGAGTCCTAAATTTATTACTACCCCAAACCACACTCAAAATTTTAGGCTTTAGTAAGGAACTGTTTAAGTCTATTATTTAAGGTGTTGTGATGGCTAATGGTATGTGTCAACCTGAGTAGGCCTAGATCTTTGGTCAAACATCCTGGGTGTGTCTGCAAGGGTGTTTCTGAATGAAATTACCATTTGAATTCATAGACAGAGTTAAACAAATTGCCCTCCTTAATGTGGGTGGCCCTCATCCAATCAGTTAAAGGAATGAAAAGAACAAAAAGGCTGACCATATCTTTAGTAAGAGAGAACTCTTGCCTCACCATCTGAATTGAGACATTAG
Source organism: Homo sapiens (assembly GCF_000001405.40). Lineage (NCBI taxonomy): Eukaryota > Metazoa > Chordata > Mammalia > Primates > Hominidae > Homo > Homo sapiens. The sequence continues at coordinate 89,963,784 of NC_000007.14, read as the reverse complement.
TCTTTTCCTGTCTTTGGATTCAAACTGAAAAATGGCTCTTCTTGGGTTTTGAGCCTGCCATATTTCAGACTAAATTTATAACATCAGTGCTCCTGGTTCTCAGGCCTTCTGACTCAGATTGGAAGTATACCACTGGTTCTCCTGGGCCTCTAGCTTGCCAACTACAGATTTTAGGACTTCTCAGCCTCCATAATCATATGAACCAAATTTTTACAATAAGTTGGATATAAATCAAATACTGTTGGTTCTGTTTCTCTGAGGAACTCTAACCCGTAGATTTTGGTACTGACAGTGGTTCTAGAGAAACAGAATTTTAAGGGTAAGTTTTCTGAATTCGTTGTGAGGTTTCTGAAGTTTGATCGCTAATATGATTTGATTTAAACATGCTAATGACACATTTACAGTAGTAAAGAGACCCACCAAGGCATAACGTTGGGCATGTTTAGCAGTGCTACATCATCAAATGGAAGTAGTTTGTACATGATCAGGCCAGAGGAGGTACTGAAAACACAAGTAAATTAAATGAAAAAGTGGTTCAAATGCCAGTGGTCCCCACTGCTGTTACACTCCCTTCTCTCTCCCAGCCTTGCACCTATGGCTTCATAGGGAATTTCCTGTGATCCATTGGCAGAACTTCAAGCAGTGCACCTAGTTGTTCATTTTGCTTGCAAAGAGAAATGACTAGACATGTGATTGCATGCTGACTATGGGCGGTGGCCAATGGTTTGGCTGGATGGTTAGGGACTTGGAAGTAACATGATTGGGAAATTGGTTACAAGAAAATTTAGGGAAGAGGTATGAAGACAGAACTCTGTGAATGGGCAAAAATGTGAAATTATTTGTATCCCATGTGAATGCTTACCAAATGGTATCCTCAGCAGAGAAGCACTTTAATAATTAACTGCATAGGTTGACCAGTTCTCGGGAAACCAGCCAGCCTCTTTCTCCAGATAGCCTGTTATCACCTCGTTGGTTCATGAACAAAGTGGCCATGGTAGCATGGATGGAGATCATGCCTGGGCTCAGCAACATGGATGCCATTCACCAAAGCCACTTGAGCTATGACTGCCACAGAGTGCCCAATCTGCCAGCAGCAGAGCCCAACATTGAGTACCCAGTTTGATACCATTCCCCAGGTTGATCAGCTACCTGATGGCAGGTTGATTACATTGAACCACTTCCATCCATCATGGATGGGGAAACATTTTGTTCTTACTGTAATAGACGCTTACTCTGGACATGAATTTGCCTTTCTGGCACATAATGCTTCTTCTAAATCTACCATCCAAAGACTTAAAGAATGTCTTATTCACCATCATGATATCCCAACATTGCTTCTGATCATATAACTCAATTTACAGAAAAGAAGTGTGGCAATTGGCCCATCATGATGGAATTCAACAGTCTTGCTATATTCCCTACCATCCTGAAGCAGCTGGTTTGATAGAACTGGGGAATGACTTTTTGAAGACTCAGTTACATTGTTATCTAGATGGTAATACCTTGCAGGATTTGGGCAAGGTTCTACAGAAGGCTGTACAGTTGTTAGTCAGTAGCCATGCATTGGTTCCAGGACCCCCTGCATATACCAAAATTCATGGAAACTCAAGTTCCTGATGTAAAATGGTGTGTTATTCGCATATAAACTATGCACATCTTCCTGTATCCTTTAAACATCTCTAGATTATTTATGATACCTAATACAATGTAAATGCTATGTAAATTGCTATTGTACTGCATTGTTTAGAGAATGACATGAAAAATAAGTCTGTACTTGTTCAGAAAATGTATTAGTCCATTCTCATCCTGCTATAAAGAAATATCCAAGACTGGGTAATTTATAAAGGAAATAGGTTTAATTGACTCACAGAGCTACATGACTGGGAATGCCTCTGTAAACTTACAATCATGGTAGAAGGGGAAGCAAACACATCCTTCTTCACATGGTGGCAGGAGAGAGATGTGCTGAGCAAAGGGGGAAAAGGCCCTTATAAAACCATGAGATCTCATGAACTCTCTCACTATCATGAGAACAGCATGGGAGTAACTGCTCCCATGATTCAATTACCTCCCACCAGGTCACTCCCATGACGTGGGGATTATGGGAACTATGATTCAAGAGAAGATTTGAGTGGGGAACACAGCCAAACCATATCAAGGTGAAATTTGGTTTCCAAATATTTTTGATCCGTAGTTAGTTGAATCTCTCGATGTGAAACCTATGGATACAGAGGGCCAACTATATATTATCCGAATGAGCATACAATATATGGTGCTGTTTCTCCCATAGTCAGGATTCATGGGTCTAGGAATGAAGGGATGGAAATGGAAGTGGCACCACTCACTATTGCCCTTAGTGATTCACTAGCAAAAGTTTGCTTTCTGATTCCATGACCTTATTCCATGACCTTATGCTCTGCTGGCCTAGAGGCCTTAGTTCCAAATACAGAAATGCTTCTACCAGGAGATACAACAATGATTCCACTGAACTGGAAGTTAAGACTACAGCAGGGTACTTTCAGCTCCTCATGCCTCCAAGTGAACATTCAAAGAAGCAAGCTACTGTGCTTGTTGGGGTGATTGATCTTGACTACCAAGGGGAAATTGGACTGCTACTTCACAATGGAGGTAAGGAAGAATGTATCAGGAATACAGGTGATCCCTTAGGGCATCTTTTTTGTTGTTGTTGTTGTTGTTGTTTTTTGAGACGGAGTCTCGCTCTGTTGCCCAGGCTGGAGTGCAGTGGCATGATCTTAGCTCACTGCAACCTCCGCCTCCCGGGTTCAAGTGATCCTCCTGCCTCAGCCTCCCTAGTAATTGGGATTACAGGCATGCACCACCATGCCCGGCTAATTTTTGAATTTTTAGTAGAGATGGGGTTTCACAATGTTGGCCAGGCTGGTCTTGAACTCCTCATCTCAGGTGATCCACCTGCCTTGGCCTCCCAAGGTGCTGGGATTACAAGTGTGAGCCACTGTGCCCTGCCTAGGGCATCTCTTAATATCACTATACCCTGTGATTGAGGTTAAAGGAAAACTACAACAACCCAGTCCAGGCAGGACTACTAATGGCCCAGACCCTCCAGAAATGAAAGATTGGGTCACTCCCACCAGGTAAAAAACCATTACTAGCAGATGTGCTTGCTGAGGGCAAAAGGAATACAGAATGAATAATGAAAAAGTACAAATATCTTTGTTTTCTTTTCTCCCTTATTTTCTAACCACGTAACATAAGATGAATTGATTTGATACTGCAGTTCTTAAGTATTATTAATTTTACATCGTAGTACAGCCATGTATCACTTAATGACAAAGATAAGTTGTGGGAAATGTGTCCTTAGGTGATTCTGTTGTTGTGCGAACATCATAGTGTACTTACAGAAACCTGGATGGTACAGCCTACCGCACAACTAGGCTATGTGGTACAGCCTGTTTCTCCTAGATTGCAAACCTGTACAGCACATTCTGTACTGAATACTGTTGGGAATTGTTACACACTGGCAAATATTTGTGTACCTAAACATATCTAAACATAGAAAATGTACAGTAAAAATGGTAATAATCTTATGGGTGAATCTTTGAGTGAATCTCACTCAAAGACCTTATCTTGTCTTCTGGGGAAAAAGTTAGTGTGTTTGTAATTGTACATAGAATAATTGTATTATGTTAGGTGGAATTATGACCTTGTTATTGCTTTTATTTGGAGATTAAGTGTGGTTTAAGGAGGTGAGTATGGGCATTAAATTGATAAGGGGTTGACTTGTGATGGCTAACATTATGTGTCAATTTGACTGGGCTGTGGGGTGCCCAGACATTTGGCCAACATTCTGAGCCTGTCTGTGAAGGTGTATCTGGATGAGATTAACATTTGAATTGGTAGAATGAGTAAAGCAGGTTTCCCTCCCTAATGTGAGCGGTTCTCATCTAATCAGTCGAAGACCCGTAGATAACAAACAGGCAGACTCTGCACTGAGTAAGGGGGATCCCATTCAGCCTGACATTGAGCTGGACATGGGTCTCTTCCAGCCTTCACACTTGAACAGAAACACTGGCCTTTCTTTGATCTCAGTTGGCTGGCTCTTGGGATAAAACTATACTATTGGCTCTCTTAGTTCTTAGGCCTTCAGCTTGAATAGAAAAATAGAAAATATACCATCTCTGTGTGTGCGTATATGTATAGGATATATATCTCTATCTCTATATCTATCTATCTATCATTTATCTATATCTCTAGGATAGATTTTATATATACATATAATATATATAATGTAATGTATGTATATATAATATATATTATATATAATGTAATGTATATATAATATATATTAAATGTATATATACATTTAATATGCATATTAAACAGCATCTGCCTGTTCTCTACATATAAATGTGTATATATAATGTAATGTATATATATTATATATACATTATGTATAATATATAGAACATTTAAATTAAATATATATTTTTAAATTAAATTAAATATATATTTAAATTAAAATATATATATTATATTTTTATTATATATTATATTTTATATATATCAAAATATAATATATACATATTATATATATTTATAATATATATTATATAATATATATAATTTATAATATATAATTATATAATATATATAATTTATAATATAATTATATATTATAAATATATAATATATATTTTATTATATATTAATATATATTATATATTGTATATATTTAAATATATATTAAAATTAAATATATTTAAATTAAATATATATTTAAAATTAAATATATTTAAATTAAATATATATTTAAAATTAAATATATATTTAAATTAAATTAAATATATATTTAAATTAAAAATATATATTATAATTTAATATATATTATATATACATATTAAAAAAAGACATTTTCATGCCATGTGGCCTAAACTTTGTCATACCAAATTTTTGGGGCTGGTTGGTTGGAAATGTAGCCCAATAAGTGTGAGAGTCTATGGCTAAGACATGAAAATGTCTTTTAGGGTCTTGAAAGCATGGAGAGAAAATGCTCTAATATTCTGAATGTTGTTACTATGATGCAATACAATTAATAAAATGCCCTCATTACTGTATACTAGAAATCAAATTTTCATCTTAACTCTATCATGAAATTATTATGTAAAAAGATGTTTTGTTTGAGTTTTAGTTTCTACCTATGGATAAAAGAGAAACTTGAGATAGTTTATTCTAAGATCTCATTCAGGTTTTAAATTGTATAATTCCACAGTTGTAAAAATAAGAAGTTTTAAAGTATACTGTATATTGATTACTATTTTCAAGAATTAGTATCAACATTTATCCTCCTTTAAGCCTAGTAGATAAGTGCTAGATGCTCCCACTTGTGTTATGTGTTACCATACCTACTTGCACATATGTCTGGAATAACACTCATAGTAATCTGATGTATGGGTATCACTCCTTCCTACTAGGTACACTGTTTCCCTAGGGCAGGTGGTCTACCTCATTAATCACCGTATCTCTGGAATCCAGAATAGGAACTGTAATGTGGTAGGTCTTCAATAAATACTTTTTGGAAAAATGCATTAATGCACTATTTTTCAGAATGTGTTCTGTTTATGCAGTAGTCTGCTGAAATACTCCAAAAGAGTTCCATAATATAATGTTTGTTAAGTGCTGCCCCTCTTTCTCCATATGAATATTTACAATTTATCATTCTAAATATTTGAGAAGTTCTGCACAAAAGGTATTGATTTAATTTTGTTTCAGCTGCAATTCTAAATGCACTGGGCTATAAAACTGTTTAAAATGAAAATGATGGTTCATGAAGGATGCTTTGTGAAGCAGTACATTAGTGAGTGACGCATAAAATTCTGTTACATGCGAACTTCGGAAATTTTGAAAAAAATTAATGTTCTTCAGAAATTTAATATAAAAGTTCTGATATGAACTCTGTTTAAGTCTTTTTTTTTTTTTGAGATAGAGTCTTGCTCTGTCATTCAAGCTGGAGATGGGGGGCCTGATCTTGGCTTACTGCAGCCTCCGCCTTCTGGGTTCAAGCAATTCTCCTGTCTCAATCTCCCTAGTGGCTGGGATTACAGGCACGCATTACTGCACCTGGCTAATTTTTTTTTGGTATATTTAGTAGAGAAGGGGGTTCACCGTGTTGGCCAGGCTGGTCTCAAACTCTTGACCTCAAGTGATCCGCTCGCCTCTGCCTCCCAAAGTGCTGGAATTACAGGCATGAGCCACTGCACCCAGCTTGTTTAACTCATCTTCAAATATTATCTTCACTCCAGGCATTATTAGTGTAGTTTCACAGTTCTTCTCAAACTGGCAAGTATTTTCTGGCAGGGTCTTTGTGCAAACCTTCCTATCTTCTCAGACTGCTCTTTGCTAAACACACATTTAACACCTACTCATTTTTCATTTCTCTGCTGATATGTCACTTCCTGAAAAAATTCGTTATTTTCTCTCGTAGAACCTTGTTAGTTTCCTTTATAGAACTTATTGCTGTTGCTGGCTTTATTTAATGTTTGTCTTTGATATGGTTTGGCTCCATGTCTCCACCCAAATCTCATCTTGTAGCTCCCATAATTCCCATGTGTTGTGGGAGGGACCTGGTGGGAGATGACTGAATCATGGGGTGGGTCCTTCCCATGCTGTTCTCATGATAGTGAATGGGTCTCACAAGATCTGGTGGTTTTAAAAATGTGAGTCTTCCTGCACAAGCTCTCTCTTTGCCTGCTGCCATGCACATAAGATGTGACTTGCTCCTCCTTGCCTTCTGCCATGATTGTGAGGCTTCCCCAGACAAGAGAAACTGTGAGTTCTCCATCAAACCTCTTTCCTTTGTAAATTGCCCCGTCTTGGGTATATCTTTATCAGCAGCATGAAAATGGACTGAAACAGTAAGTTGGTACCAGGAGTGGGTCCCTGCTGAAAAGATACCTGAAAATGTGGAAGCAACTTTGGAACTGGGTAACAGGCAGAGGTTGGAACAGTTTGGATAGGTCAGAAGAAGATGGAAAAATATGGGAAAGTTTGGAACTTCCTAAAGACTTTGGCTTTTCCCAAAATGCTGATAGCAATATGGACAATAAAGTCTAGGCTGAGGTGGTCTCAGATGGAGATGAGGAACTTTTTGGGAACTGGAGTAAAGGTGACTCTTGTTATGTTTTAGCAAAGAGACTGCTGACATTTTTCCTTTGCCCTAGAGATTTGTGGAGCTTTGAACTTGAAAGAGATGATTTACAGTATTTGGCAGATGAAATTTCTAAGCAGCAAAGCATTCATGGTGTGACTTAGGTGCTGTTAAAGGCATTCAGTTTTATTAAGGAAGCAGAGCATAAAAGTTCAGAAAATTTGCAGCCTAACCATGTGATAGAAAAGAAAATTTCATTTTCTGGGGTGCAGTTCAAGCTGACTGCAGAGATTTGCCTAGGTAATGAGCTGAATGTTAATCCCCAAAATAATGGGAAAAATGTCTCCAGGGCATATCAGAGGTCTTCATGGCAGCCCCTCCTATCACAGGCCCAGAGGCCTAGGAGGAAAAAGTGGTTTCAGGGGCTAGGTCCAGGGTCCCCGTGCTGTGTGCAGCCTAGGGACTTGGAGCCCTGTGTCACAGCTGCTCCAGCTATGGCTGAAAGGGGCCAATGTAGAGCTTGGGCCATGGCTTCAGAGGGTGCAAGCCTCAAGCCTTGGCAACTTCCACATGGTGTTGAGACTGCCAGTGCACAGAAGTCAAGAACTGGTGTTTGGGAACCTCTGCCTAGATTTCAGAAGATGTATGGAAATCCCTGGATGCCAGGTAGAAGTTTGCCGCAGGGGCGGGGTCTTCATGGAGAACTTCTGCTAGGGTGGTGCAGAAGGGAAATGTGGGTTTGGGGCCCCCACACAGAGTCCTACCAGGGCACCACCTAATGGAGCTGTGAGAAGAGGGCCACCATCCTCCAGACCCCAGAATGATAGATCCACTGACAGCTTGCACTGTGTGCCGGAAAAAGCCACAGACCCTCCATGCCAGTCCATGAAAGCAGCTGGGAGGGAAGTACTACCCTGAAAAACCACAGGGGTGGAGCTGCCTGAACCATGGAAACCCACCTCTTTCATAGGTGTGACCTGGATGTGAGACATGGAGTCAAAGGAGATCATTTTGGAGCTTTAAGATTTGATTGCCTCACTGGATTTTGGACTTGCATGGGGCCTGTGGCCCCTTTGTTTTGGCCAATTTCTCCCATTTGGAATGGGTGTATTTACACGATACCTGTACCCCCATTGTATCTAGGAATTAACTGACTTGGTTTTGATTTTACAGGCTCATAGGTGGAAAGGACTTGCCTTGTCTCAGATGAAACTTTGGACTGTGGACTTTTGAGTTAATACTGAAAAGAGTTGAGACTTTGGGGGGACTGTTAAGAAGACATAATTGGTTTTGAAATGTGAAGATATGAAATTTGGGAGGGGCCAGGGACAGAAAGATATGGTTTTGCTTTGTGTTTTCACCCAAATCTCATTTTGTAGTTCCCATAATTTCCACGTGTTGTGGGAGGGACCCAGTGGGAGATGACTGAATCATGCGGGTGGGTCTTTCCTGTGCTGTTCTCATGATAGTGAATGGTTCTCAAGAGATCTGATGGATTTAAAAATAGGAGTCTCCCCGCACAAGCTCTCTCTTTGCCTGTGGCCATGCATATAAGATGTGACTTGCTCCTCCTTGCCTTCTGCCATGATTGTGAGGCTTCCCCAGCCATGTGGATCTGTGATTCTCCATTAAACCTTCTTTTCTTTGTGAATTGCCCAGTCTCGGGTATGTCTTTATCAGCAGCATGAAAATAGGCTAATACAGTCTTCTTCATTAGACTCCATGAAAACATTGGTCATATGTATTTTGTGCACCATTTTTACCCAACTCCTATGCCGTAAAGGAGCTTGATAAATACTTTTTGAATGTAGATAGATATATTTAAGTTTATGTAATAAATGTTTCTCTCCCCCTTTAGATGATAATGTGCATGAGGTAAAGGATTGTGTGTATTTGTTTATTGCTGTATTGCCAAAAATATGAGTATAGTAAATAGCATTCTATAACTATTTGTTGAACAAACTAGTTGTTTGTTTAATCAATGAACTCTTGGTTATTTTGTTTCTTAAAATATTACTTATTAGAACAGTCTGTCTAATGATAGAATACTAGGAAATAGGGTTTATCATTTTCTGCTGGGATTATTTTAAGTCTAAGGATGGGAGCATGAAAAGAAAAAATGAAGCAAAATGATTTGCCTGGTTTATCTTGCTGGTTTGTAGCTTAGGAATGAAATTTCATCACTAGAACAGAATTTAAATATAAATCCAAATTTTAGAAGGCTCTTTTTATGCTAGTTCTATAATCAGAAATCCCTATATGAAGTTGAACATATAGGAAGTAGAAAAGAATTCAGAACTGTGAGAGTTTTATTATTTTATCAAATATTTATTGAGACTACCAGGAATTTTATAGTGTTCAGGTAGATTGGTTATCAGCATGTGTATCGGAGCTACGAAGGACCACAGTTTGTTTTTCATTATTAACAGTGATAATAAAAACACAGACGTATTGAGAGACTGTAACAATTTTTCTAAACAGAAGCCTCAAGAATCTCACTGTCTCTGAGGCAAGTGGGGAACGAACAATGTTTTAGCTGCTTCTTCGAGCAAGAGGAAGGCTTAGACCCAGTGGAATTGAGACCTAGTTTTTAGCAGCACTGCTTATGGGTGCAACTGGAAATAGCCCTGTGTTTAGTGATTTGTGATTTTTCTGCTCTGCTGATGAGTTGTTCTCTTTTTCTCTCTTTTAAAAAATCTCTCTCTTGTTGGATTGGTAATTCAGAAGATATTTTATTTAGCCCAAAATTTTAGGCAGGGTAGAAAGTTCAGGAGTTTTTATTTCAAGATTTATTTCTTGACCAAAAAAAAATAAAAGGAATCAGGATGTTAACTTTCTCTAGGACAGTCTTCTTGAGGCAGCAGAGAGTTGGGGGTGAAGTGGATGCCATGTCATGTGCTTGAAAGCAATCATTGTGAATGAGTGCACCTCCACAATGACATATAAAGAAATTTCTCAGACCCCAAATGAGTGAATTACAAAGGAAATATGAAAAAAATATATATGCAAGGGAGAGGATAAACATGGTCTATTTCCCATTTGATTTTTTTTTTTTAATTTCTGTAGGCTTTTAGATGTCTGGTAGTCCTGAAAGCTCTGAATGCTCCACAAAAGAAGAAATAACCTTTGCTCTAGGGGTTTCTTTTGTCTGAAGGATGAAGTGCAGACAGTGTATCTGTATTTTGCTGTACATGGCAACTTCTTATCTAGGTTGTTTTCATTTAGCCAGTTTTGGTTGAGAATGTGCTTAAGGCTTATGATCACAATGAATATTCCAATGTTGGCTGTTAGATGCTGTCTCAAAGTTCTTTAGCAGGGTTTTCATTACTTGAAAATGCCATTTGTTTATTTAATAAACATTTCTTGAGCTCCGGCTGTGTAATAGCATTGCTCCATGAGTTAGGGGCACCATCCTGAACCAACAGGCTTCTTCAGGTGGAACAAAATAAATAAAGAAGATATATTGTATGTTGGATAGTGATTATTGCTGAAAATATGAATCAGGACGGGGGGTATAAAATGTCAGGGGTAGCCAGTGAAGGTGTCACTGAGAACGAGAATTATAAAGAAAATGTGGTAAATATACAGCATGGAATACTATGCAGCCATCCTTTGCAGGGACATGGATGGAGCTGGAGACCATTATCCTTAGCAAACTAACACAGGAAGAGAAAACCAAATATTGCATGTTCTCCCTTATAAGTGGGGGCTAAATGATGAGAACACATGGGCACACAAAGGGGAACAACACACACTGGGGCCTTCTGGAAGGTGGAGGGTGGAAAGAGGGAAAGGATAAACAAAAACAACTAGTGGGTGCCAGGCTTAATACCTGTGTGATGAAACAATCTATGCAACAAACCTGCATAATGCAAGTTTACCTATGGAACAAGCCTGCACTTGTACCCTGAACTTAAAAGTTAAAAAGATGTAAAGGAAGTGAAGGAGCTAGCTGTCACAGGAAAAGAAGCAATGAAGAAAAATATGGAACATCAAGTGTAGTGGTTCAGAGGTGGGCCCGTTGACTTCATGGAACAGAGAGGAGGTCAGTGTATTTGAGATAGTCTAAATGAGGGAGCACAGTAAGAGCTGAAATTAAAAAGGTAACTTGCCTTCATGTTGGGCCTTGAGGTCATAGCAAAGTCTGGATATTAGAATCACCTGTGGAGCTCAGTACATACTCTAGACCAATTAAACCAGAATTTCTGGCGGGTGGCTCCAGACAATGGTAGGTTTTGAAGCTACCCAATGTGCAGCCAAGAGCAAGAAATGTTACTATAAGTGGGGGAATGATACGATCTGAATGCCATGATGGAGTGCCTACTTTAAAAAGTTCCCTCTAGCTGCTAGTTTGAAGATTTTCTGAAGGGGAAAGACAAGAGCAGGGATTATAAATTGGGAGGTTATTGCAAAATTCCGGGCTAGAAATGGTAGCAGTATCTGGTGGTGAGAAGTGGAGAAATTTTAGATATATTCTGTGCTCAGTGTTGTATAAGTTACATTCCCTAAAAGTTCTGTATGCTGCTCTGTAATAAGTAGCTTGTATAAATGAAATATGAGAAATGTCCTGGCACTGACTCCTTTGTACCCAGGACAGCTGTGATGGTTCAAAACAGGGAAAAAAAGGCACAGAGATTCTGGTATTGTTTTGATTCTTGATATGGACAATAATGTCAGGTGTATTTAGCTTGTAGAATCCATTAAGTCTTACATTCATGATTTCAGCACTTCTCTGTATTAATTTACACTTCTATGTAAAATGAGGTAGGCACCTTTAAAGGAGACTAAAGGAATTTAAAAATGTAGATGCATTGGTGACAACTTTCTCTTCTTCAATAGCTGCAGGATAATGCAGGTGATTATAAACATTTGGTTCTCTTTCCTTTCCAACCCCTGATGAGCTACATCTTTATATATGTTAGTTTTCTATAAAGACCTATGTTGACCTTTGCTATAATAACGAACTTGTTCCCCTCTGTTCTTTTGTGATGAGGTTACTAAGATGAAGGTCTCTCCCTCCTCATTAGTATTGGACATAGTGGGATTGAGACCCTTGTGGAAGTGAGAGTGTCTTTTGCTTGGTGAGAAGGAAGAAGGGGGCAAGTCTAAGGTCACTAAAAGGGAAGAGAGATCAGTGATTCTGAGAATCTTTGCTCTCTGTACTACTGACTTTGCAATGTGACCTTGCACTTAACTAATCCTGCAGTCTTAAAATGTGACTGTATTTTGAAGGAGTTCAGTAAGAGCTAATGTTTGAAAAACTTGAATAGATCCAAAAGACTAAATTAGTATAATTGGAACATATTTTGGAATGCACTAGTATATGTTTCTTTTTGGTGTGTATGTGTGAATAGAATAATGCAAAGTTTGCATTTATAAACAAGAATGAATAGATTGAAAGATTCCCATGTTGTAGAAAGAAATTGACATACCAGACATGAGACATTATTTGTTGGGGAATACAATGCATTAAAAGAGCATTTGCAAGAAGCCACATCACATTGAACTGGCACTATTTCATGGATCTATACCTAGAAAGAGTATGCTTAGAAGAGCCTGCCAGCATTTGCTTGGCACCATGTCTAGGGCACTTGGAGGGACAAGTTGGATGCTAGTGCCTTGTGTGATATTAAGGAAAGCATCATTTGGACAAATGTACTCAGTTCTGTTAAATATTTAAATACTTTAAGAGCTGGTTTTGAAGGTGGAGTTTTTTAGTACCTGAAAGTTATGTCTACATATATATATGCCTATTGTCGTCCAGTGCAATATCTAATACTCATTAAGTGTCAGCTAATCAGCTTAAAAGAAATTTCAAAGAGGATTTCTTTTCTGCTGTTTTTAAAACCCTGACTCTAAAAGCTCAAGGGGAAGGAGAGAGAAGATATTTTCTATACATAAAGGGATTCAGAGATACCAATCATTGGCTTTTTCCAGGCTGACAGTGCACTTACTTTTGCTGCGAATGCATTTTATTGTAATAGGGTGATATGAGAAAGATGTTTTGCCACACACGTACAGGCAAATATCACACCACAGGGCTTGTATTAATTGCCAGCTAGACCATATGCTTTGCTTTATCAAATACATTGCCTTTATGAAAATTGCTTTCCCTAATAAATCTAGTATAGCTATCTTTCATTTTTTCCCCTAGGATTTAGTCTAGGCACTCAAGCTAATCAGTAATACTAACATTTAATATATTGAAAACACTGTCATTTTCTAGTTTTTTTTTTTTTTTTTGACGGAGTCTCACTCTGTTGCCCAGGCTGGAATGCAGTGGCATGATCTTGGCTCACTGCAACCTCCACCCCCGGGTTCAAGCGATTGCTCTGCCTCAGCCTCCTGAGTACCTGGGACTACAGGCATATGCCACCACTCCCGGCTAATTTTTGTATTTTTAGTAGAGATGGGGTTTCACCATATTGGCCAGGCTGGTCTTGAACTCCTGACCTCGTGATCCACCTGCCTTGGCCTCCCAAAGTGCTGGGATTACAATGCATGAGCCATCGTGCCAGGCCTCTGTAGTTTGTTTTAGAGTTAAAACATATGATGTAGAAAACATTGGCGGTTTTGAACATTGTCTATATTTTTGCTTAATTGAACGGAAATTTTTGGGCATCAAAAATGTGTTCAACATGTACAACTTTGAGGTTTAAATTCGTTTTTGCTTGTTTTTATTAATCTTTGACCTGCTTAGTCAAATAGATCATTCTAAACACAATCCCAAATGGAAGCAGGCTTTTTCGCTTTAATTCTCACTCGGTGGTACCAAATGTAGCCTGTTTTTTGAGCTTCCATAGGAACAGAACCTTGAGAATGGGGTCTTTGTATTGGTTCTGAATAATCTGCAAATGTTTTTCTGATCTGATAAAATTTAGATGCATTAATGACCTAGTCTCCAGTGACAAAGGGGATACTAGTAGCATGCCATGCCATGGCAAAATAGGATCTTAAATGATCAACTGTGGACAACTGCAATCAAGTGACTATAGAAGGCAAGGCTTTGCATGGCCAGATACTTGCTGCCATTGAAATTTTGTTCAAAACACAGGCCATAATGCTGCTGCTCAGCTCTTTCTAAGTGTTCGGGAAGCATGAATAAGGAAATGGGCCACACATGGTGGCTCTCACCTATAATCCCAGTGCTTTGGGAGGCTAAGGCAGGAGGTCCACTTGAACCCAGGAATTTGAGGCTACAGTGAGCCATGATCATACCACTACACTCTAGTCTGGGCAACAGAGTGAGACTTTGTCTCAAAAAGAAAAGGAAAAAAAAAAAAAGAAAGAAATGGTGGCTTCAAGTCTCAAGATTCAAGGAATGGACTAGAATGCTTTTATGACTATCTTAAAATACGCTTTTACCTACTGTAATCACAGGGATGAGATTTCTGAAAGTTAAATCCAAAGTCTAGTCCTAAAATTGCCTGAAATTCAACACAAATTGAATTCACAATCCTTCAGAGTTTCATATGTTAAAAGTTAGTAATTTGAGTTGGGAGAAGTGAAAACCAAAATAATTGAGATGGGGACATACGAACAGATCCTCATAAAGTGGGGGACATGGGAAACCAAAATTCTGCTGAGTCTCCTTTGCCAGGAGAAGCAGCTCTTCATCCCTTGCCGATGGGTGTTAGTCTCCCCTTGTCTGAAGAACATGAAGCTTCCTTTAAGGTAAAATCATTGCAAGGCCCTGCTGATCCTCCTTAGAATCTACCCCTAGATATTGTCTTCTAGATCTATATCCAGACTAAAATCCTCAGGCCAGCCCTGGATGTTAGGTACAAAATGTGACACATGAAAGGTACCAGACATGCCAAGATAACTGCAAGATTTTACGAATTTACATGGATAGAATCCTGGGGTACATGTATGGAAATGGATAATACAGAAGTTGGAACGGTGAAGAAGAAATGAAATATTGGATTGGGCTGAATTTGTTGATATGGATGAACTAAGGAGAGATTCTGGGTTTAGTTTTGTAGCTTAGACAGTTAGCATGGCTCTGAGTTTTCTTGGTGAGTTTACTGAAACATGGGCCCAGAGGTGGCCTACACTAATTGAATTTGAAATTTCAGGAGTTCCTTGCTTTACCATAGAGGAAGATATGCAAAGGGTCAGAAAGGTTGGAATGTAAAAGTAGATTTGTTATGTAAGAGTTGTGTACCCAGTTCTGAATTCTGTCCCTCAGAAGGGACCAGAGAACACTCCCTCATCAAAACTGTAAGAAAGAAGGAAGGAAGATGCTCTTGAACAAAGCTGTAAGAAATATTTGTAAAAAAAAAAAAAAAAAAAAAAAAAAAGTCAGTGTCCTTGGAGAGCTCTGTGGTTGTCATTCTCTATAGTTCAGGATTGACAGTGAAAAAAAGCTGTCATCAAACTATAGTCCCTGAATTCAAAGGAGATGAGGGGATCCCTGGGTGGCAGGGACCAAAACCTGGCACGTCGTTGCCAGAAGTAAGGTGGGCACAGTTAACATACTGGATAGCAGAGCAAAGCAGTCATCAGATTTGACCTATGGAGAGAGGACATTGATGATCATGGTATCTGTAAAACTGGAAGCCTTATTCAGCCTCTTCTAGTCTTACTTTAATTGTTTAAGTGGCAAACTCTAGGTCTTGGAACAAAAGTCTGATTTGAATCACAACAATAGAGTCATTCCCTGTCAATCAATTTCCAAACATGATTCAGTTTTCAGAACCAGAGTCCCTTGAGTGAAGAGGAGGCCAGGTCCCTTTGAGGATGAACAGTCCTTTGACACAGCCATAATTCTATAATGGAAATCTTAACATTCCTCAAAGGGATCTATTGCTATTTACCAGGGTGGTAAATTGAAGAAGGAAAAATAACCAGTGTTTTTGAGAATTACTGGACAATAGTCTTATAGTTGACACCTATTCCTAGAAACCCTAAATGCAATGTGGTCTTCTAGACAGAGTAAAGTTGTAGATGTAAAGCAATCAATGGAGTTTTGACTTGGATTTGAGTGGACCAATGGGTACCTGAATCCATTATGTGATGATTTCTTCAGTTCAGGAATGCATAGTTGTATCAGGCATATTCAGCAACTGGCATAGTTTCCACATTAGTTCCCTAATCCATGGAATAGTGGCTGTTATTGTAAGAAAGGCCAAGTGGTAGCCTCTGGAACTTCTGTCTACCAACTAATAAGTCAAAGGCAATACCACAAACTTGGATCATTGTAGAGATTATAATCACCACTGTAGACTTGAAAAATGGTGATGTAAATCTCCATTCAGTTTGCCTTTTGGCTTGTATAGCAGAAAGATGGACCTTGGAGAATGTCAGTGGATTATCATACAGTTAATCATGTGCTAACTCCAATTCTAGCAGCTGGTTCAGATGTGGTTTTGTTTTTGAAGCAAATTGACTTACCCCCATAACTTGGTATGTAGCTATTTACCTGGAAAATGCCTTTTTAAAAACAACCATGAATGATAGCTAGCAAAGACCAGAGAGAGTGGTAAAATGGTCTTTCAAATATTTTATTACAGCACCAGCTAGATGACAACGCAATTTGGGTTTAGGACAATGTTGTCTAGGATGTGGTACATGCTCTAGGTTAGTGTCCAACACAGGGTCCTTTTTCTCTCATAACTGGGATTCATGACTCCTGGAATTAAGGAATAAAAATAGGAGACGGTCCTCTCATAATTTCCCTAGTGATCCACTAGCAAAATGTTGGATTCCTGACCCAGTGACTTTACGCTTTTCTAGTTTAGAGATCTTAACTATTGAGGGAGTTATGTTTCCACCAGGGGACACTGGATTGGTTCCCTTAATTTGGAAGTTGAGACTGACCACTCTGGGCTTCTTATGCTTGTTAATCAACAGGCAAAGAAGACAACTGTGCTGGCTCAGGTTGTTTCTCTTGATTATCAAGAGGATAATTGTATTGCTGTTATGCTGTGGAAGGTTAGAAGGAATATGTCAGGAATGCAGACATCCTTGGGGTGCCTCTTAGTACATTCATCACCTGTGATAAAAGTTAATAAAGAAATGGCTGAGCACAGTGGCTCCTGCCTATAATCCCAGCACTTTGGTAGGATCCCTTGAGGCCAGAAGTTTGAGATCAGCTTGTGCAACATAGCAAGATGCTATCTCTACAGAAAAAAAAAGGTTAATGAAAAACTATAGTGATAGAATATAAATAGGCCAAATATTTTAGAATTGAGGGTTTGGGTCACCTTACCAGGCAAGAAAACTTTAGTAACCAAATTGCTTTAGAGAGCAAAGAGAATGTGTGATGGGTAGTGAAATAGAGAAGTTCTAGATACCAGCTGCAACAACATGACCGATTAGAAATGAGAACTATAATTGTTATGATAATTTCTTATTTTGATATGAATTTATTTTTACATATATAAACATATGTGTGTATATGTAGATATGTGTGTGTGTATATATATGTATATTTATATATCAATTCTTTTCCATTTCTTTACTAACATAAGATGTAGTGATAAGTGCTTAATGTATATTACAGAACATTAAATGAGGGGTATGATGCTGATCTGCTGGTTTATCTAGATTTCCGATTTTAGCTACTTCAAGTCCCAGGCCAGATACTTGTTCAGCTCTGTGACGAAGGGTACCAGCTTTGTCTGTAGGTTATGGATGTGATTGAGATTGGAAATACTGAGAGATAAACACACGTTCTAGTGAGTTCACTGGTTTAACTTTGTCTTTGCAGGTTTCAGTTTTTATTGCTCTACCCCTTTTTACATTCAGCTTTTCTTCTTCTTTGTCACCTCTGCTGACTGACCTACAGTGACTTTGAGTTCATCAACAAATGCAGAGTCAACAGCTGTCAATAGACTTCTTAATCAGGCCCCATCCTATTCAGTGGAACTGATCCTCCAACTTTTGTCCTCTGTACTTTTATTTCCTCTTCTTCTCCCACAGTTGCATAAGGTCTAATCTCTATAATAAATCCCTTAATCCATAGCACTCAGATTTCTGGAACCATAACACAGCAATTATCCTAATCCTTAATATTTACATTAATATTAACATTTACCATATTGGCAGTGTTGTTTACTGTTTAATTTCTTCTAGATCTGAATTCTAAACTATTAACAATGGCTGTTTTAAAACTTGAAAATTGAAATTAGTTTTTTTTTTGTTTTTTTTTGAGACGGAGTCTCACTCTGTCACTCAGGCTGGAGTGCAGTGGTGAGATCTCGGCTCACTGCAAGCTCCGCCTCCCAGGTTCACGCCATTCTCCTGCCTCAGCCTCCCGAGTAGCTGGGACTACAGGCGCCCGCTACCATGCCCGGCTAATTTTTTGTATTTTTAATAAAGATGGGGTTTCAGCGTGTTAGTCAGGGTGGTCTCAATCTCCTGATCTTGTGATCCACCTGCCTCGGCCTCCCAAAGTGCTGGGATTACAGGCGTGAGCCACCGCACCTAGCTCTTGAAGTTAATTTTTTACTGTTTTTTCATCCCTCACCTGCTGAGTCAAAACAGAACCTGCACATTGTGCACATGTACCCTAAAACTTAAAGTATAATGATAATAAAAAAACCAAAAAAAACAAAAAAAACACTTCTGAACAAAATTCAAGATAGAAACAGGCTTTTTCTCTTTAATTCTTACTCATTGGAGCCAACTGTGGGTTGTGATTTTCTGTTTAGCTATGTTGTTGACTTTTGGGTGAACCTATAACTCATGTGCATGTGTTTGAGAGTTGACATTGATTCCAGTATTTCAGAATCATGGGGAAAAAGTATTAGCTTTTCTGCGCCGGATTTTTGTGCCTGAATTGTTACAACATATTTAAATGTTAGTAATGCTCCTAAACATATGCATCCTCGTTATGTCTGATGCATAGTATTTTTGGTAGGCCATGGACCACACATTAGAAAAAAAAGTGAAGAGAGAGAATTTCTCTAGTTTTATATACTGTATATGGCTTTATATATTACAAGCTTCTTAAATTTAACAAAGAGTAATGCTCCCTTCACTGTATCTTGCACCTAGCAAGAAACCTAACAAATAAGACCATTTGGGTTCTGGATAGAGAATACCACTTAAATTCATGATAGTAGAATCTACCTTTGACTTAAGACTAATATATCCATATTACCTTGCAATAAAATAACTGGGTTAGATAGAAGTTGTCAAATAAATGTTATAATGCAGAAAATATTAACAATGATCAAAATTATATAAAAATGTATACTATAATGATATATTTGCATAAAATCCCAATACTTTGTTTTCTGAGTATCTCTATGAATCTTCCCTGTTTATATGAAATGATTAAAAAATTACATTGTACTGTATGGATTTTTATATAGCATTCTTCTTAGTCTACAGAAAGAGGTAGGTGACTCCTTCTTTCTTTGTAAAAGGTAAAAATTGAGACAATTTTGAAGAGATCTGAGATTGCCTTATTTTTGCCACACAGTAGGAAAGGAAAATGTGTCCTTTTCACATTTGGAATAGAAGTCATTCAAAGACAGAAGTAAAGAGGAAAAACATTTCTTGAGGTTTGGCCTGAATAGGTGCAACTATCATTTGGTGCAGCATTCAACTAAACATTCACAATGTGAATCTGGCTGGGATATAACTCAGCTATAAAACAACAACAGTAAAATAAAAACCACATAATAGTTGTCTGCACTGTTTACTTAACTGGTCAAGGACTTAAAAGTAGTATCTTTGGTAGGTCAGATAATACATTCTCTAAATTTGACATTCCACTCAACAGGAAGATGCAGGCTTTCAGAGAGCTGCCCACTGTTGGAGAATTT
This sequence comes from Homo sapiens, assembly GCF_000001405.40. Lineage (NCBI taxonomy): Eukaryota > Metazoa > Chordata > Mammalia > Primates > Hominidae > Homo > Homo sapiens. The sequence goes on along the minus strand of NC_000007.14, from coordinate 89,943,882 downwards.
TTATCACTGACTAATCTTACCTAGTGATTTAGGAGATGTCAGGGATTACATGAGGCTTAAGTCAGGCCGGCTTCCATTACCTTATCTGCTGTATCCTCTTTTCAGCATTTTGCTGCCATCGAAAAGTTACATAAATATTCCAAGGGTGTAATCAGTCAGGCAGTCCACTGTGTCCTTTCAGCTGGCTGCCAGGTCATTCTGGGGAAAATGAAGGCTTTATAGGACAGGATGAGGCTATGTATTGCAGGAAGCATTAAAAAGATGTCGTCTCATGTGCTAAAATATATTTCACTAATATAAAAATCATTTTTCAAATTGCACATTCTGGGCTTTATCCTATCTGGACTCACTAAGACTGTAAAAATATGGTTGAGTTTCCAGACAGTTTCTTGCACTCCTCTTCATCAATTGAAGCCGCAAAATGATGAGAAGAAAATGAAAATCTTGTTTCATTTATTTTTTCATTTCAATCTTAACAAAATATGGCTCAGTTTCCCTTAGTTGTATCTATATTCAAATAGTCACTCTTTTTTTTTCTTATAGTAACCATTTTACACAGGGATTCTCTTTGTTTTACACACACACGCACACACACTTTTTTCCTCAAAAGCAAGCATTGCAAACTCTTCATGTGTGCAGTCTTCTTGAATACAAGATCAAAATACATGGACTGAGAGAGAGTACTAGGGTTTACTACCTCTTTAGGATTCAAATCACTTCACAGGCAGAAAGATGTATTAACCTAAGCACTAAGAATCTATCTTTATTCCCCACCAAAAGGGAAAAGAAAACAGGAGGCAACTGACAGGAAGTTTACTCGGGGAGGAAAGGTAGCACTTTGGGGTTGGAAAGCCCTTTACAGGATAAGAGTCATTGAAGTAGGTACTTCAATGTACCGATGTAGGCGTTAGTGCATGATTTTTGGTGTTTGTTGCAGTAATAGGTTGTGTTAGATATTGTGTTTCATGGATGATATCCATGAAGATGGGACAGGTGTTTTATTAGTGCTAACCAGAAACATGGCAGGTTTTCAATAATTTTTTTGTTGAATGTATGGATGTTGTTAGCTCAAGGGACCTCATTTATGTTCAAGGCCACTCTCATCTGCTGTCATAGAACTGAAGTCTAGAGAAGCTGTAACCTACTCAGGGTGACATAGAAGACACAGAATTAGAACCCAGGTCTCTTGAAATGAACTTCTGAACACTCACTTCAGTCTTGTCTCTACTGTTATCTCTGTCTTGAGAAAGCAAAAATCATGCCGTAAAACTACATTTAAGTTTCTTTAAGTAACAACACACTATAAGAAGTAATTACTATGACACTTTTACAGCCATCAGGAGAAAGAATATTGTAATGTTATTAGCTCACTTTTGCATATTCTTGTATATAGTAGCCATGTAAAACAAATGGTGTGATCTTTTTTCCAAGTTCCATTTTGCTGTTAGTCTAATAGCTCCCTTGGATATTATTTTAGTGACAGTATCATCAAATAGTTTTCTTGTATTAAAAACTGTGGTGGATCTTCCACTGCAAGTAAGACAAAATAAGTACCAATAATCTGAACTACCAGAAAAAGAAAGTTTTCTTAAAGGGAATCTCTGTTTTTAATTTTTGAGACTTGAGATTTAGGCAAAAATTCTACAGAATGATGGTAAAAGTATAGCCTAAAGCAGATGTCTATTTCATTCTTTTCTCTATGCTTAGCACTGAGCTTTATTATGGCCAGTGGACAGAAAGCATGTTTGCTTTATTTAACTTAGAAGAAAACCAATCACTAGTCTATGGACATGTATTAATTTTGAATCTATTTATATTTTATCATTTCTGAAGTAGCAATTATATAAAATAGCATGATGAATTGAATTAGCAAGAGTAAGAAAACTGAGACATGGTGAAAACAAAGGAGTAAAAGTAAAGTGACTACAGGTAGGTTAGTTCATGTATGTTCTTCAGGCTTAAAAATGCATACTCCTACATCCTCCGTGCAATATCATTGATGCTGAGCAAGACTTCTCTTTAAAGTTTCTAGTAGTGAGTGAAAAAAAATGAGAATAGGGCTAGTCTTGGTTTCTGTATCATAAATATTGACCAAGAGAGACAGGACTATATATTATACTGAGAAAAGAAACACTATGTACCACAGTGAACAATGTCCTTGACAAAAACAATGAGCTTCATTAAGCTCTTTCTTACAACCTCCCTTAATATAGGTCTTTAATAGCATGTCAGTCACATCAATTTGTAGAGGCCACAGTGGTGTTGTGTAGGTAGGTTACTCCCTAGGATGGTCTAGTTTAACTTAGGGATAAATTTTAAAGACCAGATGAGAGGATAGATAGCATGTGTTTAGGCAATCCTCCATAAATATTGTTTTACATTCAAGCTTTTGATGGATATTGGCTACAGTGAATTTGAGGTTATGCTCCTAACAGGTGTTGGAGTGATGTTCTTTGACTTTGCTGATTATGTACATGGACGTGTGCTTGTACAGTCAGTCACACTGAAGACAAGGTTGATATCTTACTGTAAAAAAATGAGATGCTTACCAAGGGCACATTCCTGAAGAGAAGGCAATACACCTTTTTTTTTTTTTTTTTTGCATTGTGGACTGAGATGAAATTATAGCAGCCAGGGTTTTACTCCAGGGGGTACCTTAGGAACTCTTCTAACAAACAGTTGGTCAGTAGAAGCCTTGAAATTTATGTCATAAACAATGGCCAAAGGAATTTAAACTTAAACATGTATAATTGAACACCCAGATTATCAAAAATATTCTCAATAAAATATAGTAAACTTTCTGATATACATGCAAAGTTCAGTCAGGAGACAGATATGACACTAGTAATTTGAACAGGAAAACGGAAATTTTTTTCATTTTCTTTTAAATTAAGGTAAATTTACATGCAATAAGATTTATTGTTTTTAGTGTGCAGCTCTGATTTTTGATAAATAAATGCATCCAGGCATGTAATCACCACCATAACCAGTATATAGAATACCTCCATCACCTCAAAAAGTTTCCACAAACCCCTTTGTAGTCAATCTCTCTTCTTACCCCCAGCCCTGGCCACCACTGAATTGCTTTCTGTCCTTGTAATTTCACCTTTTTTAGAATGTGATGTAAATAGCATCACACAGTATTTAATCTTTTGAGACTGGTTGCTTTCGCTTAGCATATTCAATTTGATATTCATCCTTTTTATTTCATATATAAGCAATTTGTTCTTCCTTATTGTTTACTAGTGTCCCATGGTAATGATGTGCCCCCTTGTTTCTCCATTCTGCAGGTGAGATGCGGTCAGATTACTTCTATTTATCATGAATAAAGCCATATAATGTATTTTTTTACAGGTTTTGGCATGAAAATAAGTTTTGTTTCTCTTACCATAGAGCTTGTTGTGGGAATTGCTATATGGTATTAAAATTAATTACATTCTACCTTCAAATAATACTATACCCCGTTATGTGTGATGTGAAGACGTTTCCACATTGTATTCCCAATTTCACCACCACCTTTCATGCTACTGATAATATGTGACTTATCACCTATTATAATTTTACCTATGCTATTATTTCCCAAGACATTGCTGTCATTTTTGCTTTTGGCAATCAATAGACCTTTAAGAACATTTAAAGCTTGAGTTTTATATGAAATTCATTGCCATTTTTGGTGCTTTTATTTCCTTGTGTAGATTGAAGTTTCTTTCTAGTATTATTACTTTTCCCTGAAGAAATTTCTTCAATCTTTCTTATATTCAGGTCTGCTAAAAATACATTCTGTTTTTGTTTATTTGAAAAGTCTTTCCCCTTCATTTTGTAAGTGATATTGTATGATTTGTAAGATAACATTGCATACACAATTCTGTTGACAGTTTATTTTCCTTTAGTACTTTAAAGTTGTCACTCCATTGAGTGGGCAATATTTAATGAAAAAATCATTAACTTGCAAAAGTGGGTAACTGCCAAAAAGGATAAGCATTGACTCTAAAGAATATGGGAGTAAGTACTATCTCCATGGATGACGGAGCATAGCCAAGGAAGAAAGAAAGAATTTAGATGTCCCCTCCCATCATAAGGCTAATATTGAGACCCCATAGGATACAGTGTGGCTGAGGATTGCTGGGTGGTGGAGAAGTTCTCTATGGCATCAGGGGATGAAGCTGGTCTGCAGGAAGCTGCCATCCGAGGTGTCAGAGAAACGTTGAAAGGTGAGCACTGCTGGGCCTTCTCCACGCCACCAGCAGCCACATCAGGGGAAGGGGAAAAAAATCACACTAGGACTGAGGAGAGAAAGAACCCCCTTTCCAGTTTCTCCAGTTCCCTCTATTGACAAAGCCTAATGTGTTCCACTTAACTAAGGAGAAATGTTTACAAGGTCCACTTCAATTGTAAAGTCTCCTTTCTCCATTCTGATTGTATTTATTTGGATTCTCTCTTTCCTTTTCTTGGTTACTCTAGCTAACAGTCTATTGATTTTGTTTATCTTTTCAACGAACCAACTTTTTGTTTCATAGATCTTCTGTATTTTTTTTTTTAGTCTCAATTTCATTTTGTTCTGCTGCAATCTTTGTTATTTCTTTTCTTCTGTCAGCTTTGGGTTTGGTTTGTTCTTGTTTTTATAGTTCCTTGAGGTATCATGTTGGGTTGCTGATTTTTGAGCTTTCTATTTTTTTTTTTAATGTGGGCATTTGATGCTATGAACTTACCTCTTAGCACTGCTTTTGCTGTATCCAAGAAGTCTGGGTATATTGTGTCTCCACTTTCACTAATTTCAAAAAATTTTTGATTTCTGTCTTAATTTTGTTGACCCAACCTCTATGAAAAACAAAATGGAGATTTCTCAAAAGATTGAAAATAGAACTACCATTTAATCCAGCAATTCTACTTCTGAGTTTCTACCCAAAGGAAAGTTCATCATTATATCAAAAAGATGTCTGGCTGGGCACGCTGGCTCATGCCTGTAATCCCAGCACTTTGGGAGGCCGAGGTGGGCGGATCACCTGAGGTTAGGAGTTTGAGATGAGCCTGACCAACATGGCAAAACCCCATCTCTACTAAAAATACAAAATTAGCTGGGGTTGGTGGTGCATGCTTGTAATCGCAGCTACTTGAGAGGCTGAGGCAGGATAATCGCTTGAACCCAGGAGGTGGAGGTTGCAGTGAGCCGAGATCCTGCCATTGCACTCCAGTCCGGGCAAAAAGAGTGAAACTCTGTCTCAAAAAAAAGATGTCTGCTTTGTGTGTTTATTGCAGCAGTATTCACGATAGCTAAGATAGGGAATCAACCTAAGTGTCCATCAGCGGATGATTGGATGAAGAAAATGTGGTATGTATATACCTTGGAATACTATTCAGCCATAAAGAAGAATGAAGTCATGCCTCTTACAGCAACATAGATGGAACTGGAGGCCATTCTCAAGTAAAATAACTCAGAAACAGAAAGTCAATATTGCATGTTCTCACTTATAAGTGGGAGCTAAAAATTTGTACACGTGGTCATAGAGAGTAGAATAATAGACTTTGGAGACTTGGAAGAGTGAGAGGATGGGAGGGTAGGAGGGGGGTGCTGGATGAGAAATTAATGGATACTATATACACAATTCAGGTGATAGTTACACTAAAACCTCAGACTTCCCCACTGCAATATATCCATGTAACAAAACTACATTTGTAGGCCGGGCATGGTGGCTCACGCCTGTAATCCCAGCACTTTGGGGGGCCGAGCTGGGCGGATCACGAGGTCAGGAGATCGAGACCATCCTGGTTAACACGGTGAAACCCCATCTCTACTAAAAATACAAAAAAAATCAGGCGGGCATGGTGGCGGGCGCCTGTAGTCCCAGCTACTCAGGAGGCAGAGGCAGGAGAATGGCATGTACCCGGGAGGCGGAGCTTGCAGTGAGCTATCGTGCCACTGCACTCCAGCCTGGGCGACAGAGCAAGACTCCGTCTCAAAGAAAAAAAAAACAAACAAAGAAACAAACTACATTTGTAGCCACAAAGTCTATAAAAATAAAAAAAGTAAGATCCACTTCATTCTGACAATGCAAGATAAAGAAATATGGATTTCAAGCTAAGAAGTAATAAATTGATAGCTGACATACAAGTCAAAATAAACTAGTTGCAAAATGTACACCAAGATACTGTATGAGACTTATCCACATAACCAACTAGAAAACTGGATAAAATGTAGAACAACCTTCCCAGATAACTTCAGGAAATAATCTTTTATTGCTTCTTTCAGCTTCTGGTGGCTCCAGGCGTAATTCCAGGCTCTGCCTCCATCTTCATATGGACTTTGTGTGTGTGCTTGTCTGTGTGTGTGTGTGTGTGTGTGTGTGTGTGTGTGTGTGCCTCTGTATGTCCTCTCTTCTTCTTATAAGGACACTGGTTATTGTATTTAGGGCCAACCCTAAATCCAAGATAATTTCATCTTGATATTCTTAAGTATTCATATCTGCAAAGACTATTTCCAAATAAGTTCACATTCTGAGATTCTGGATACACACAGATTTTAGGGGCCACTATTCAAATCACTACAATCATTATCCAAAACTTAACTGCATTTCTATATACTAACTATGAATAATTGAAAAATAAAAAAATTGTAATAGCAATTAAGGATAAATTCAATAACAGATGTACAAGTCCTCTACACAGAAATCTGCCAAAGCTTGCTGAAATTAAAGAAGACCTAAATAAATGGAGAGATATACCAGGTTCTTAGATTGGTAGACTCAATGTTGTTAAGATATCAAATCTCCCCACATTGATCTATAGATTCAATGCAATCTCAATCAAAATTCCAGTAGGCTTTTTGGCAGGAAAAAAAAAGCAGATGCTTTGATTTATATTGAAATGCTAGAGACCTAGTATAGCCAAAACAATTTTTAAAAAGAAAAATATTGGATGACTTATGTTGCCTGAATTCATAATTTACTATATATAAAGCTACATTAATCAAGATAGATTCCTATTGGGAATGGAACTTAATAGAGATATCTGAAATTTCCTCAAACATAGGTGTTCAATTGATCAATGATAAAAGTGGCCAGGTAATTCAATGAGGAAAGAATACCTTTTATTTTCTATAAATAGTATGCCTACATTAGAATAGGCATACGGAAAGAAAAAAATTTTAACCCTTATTTTATACCACATAACAAAATTAATTACAAAGTGCTCAATGATTTAAATATCAGAGTTAAAACTGTTATATCCCCAGAGGAAAGATAGAAGACAAGTTTTGTGACCTTAGGATAAACTAAGTTTTTTGTTTTTGTTTTTATTTTTGTTTTTTGGACAAGACACAGAAAGCACAAGCCATATAGGATAATTATTGATAACTTAGACTTAATCAAAGTTAAAAATTTTGGCCCTTTGTTATTGACAAAAATGAGTGTAACATTTTCCTCCACCTTAATAAATTTTAGACAGATTTCCTTATCCTTTTAGGGCTCTGACCCCCCTGTCAACCCCAGCCCTGACAGAATCCTGATGGCCTAACTGCAGAAGTACCTCCCCTTCCTTTCTTAGGGAGTTTATTTTAGAAAACTTATACTTCCAAATTCTTACTCTGCCCCTTTGAGATGTACATATTTTTAAAAGCTCCTAGCTCCTTTTACAACACAGGACTGTCTTTAGGACCTAGGAGCCATCCCTTAGAAATGTAGTCATCAAAGAAGATAGCATCCCAATCTGCTATTCTCTGTGGAGGGTAGGAGCTTAACTTTGGTGGGTTGCTTGCTTCAAGTTCTAAAACTACCTCCTGTGATGAAGGCATACAAAAAATTTTACTTTTGAGTGAAACCAATCAGCAAACACAGGGGCCTTTGGTTCCTCACACTAGCTCTTAAAATATCTGTATAAAGAAAATGTGGTTTATATACACAATAGAATATTACTCCACCTTAAAAAAGAAGGAAATCCTGCCATTTGGGACAACATAGCTGGACATTAAAGACATTATGCTAAGTGAAATGAGCTAGTCACAAAAGGACAAATACTGCACAATTCCACTTGTATGAGGTCAGTCAAACTCACAGAAGCAAAGACTACTCTAGCCCCTAGGTTGCCAGGGGCTGAGGTAAATGGGGAGTTGTTAAATAGGTATAAAGTTTCAGTTATGCTAGATAAGTTCTAGAGGTCTGCTGCACAGTATAGTGCCCATAGTTAACAATACGGTATTGTACACTTCAAAATTTGTTAAGAGGGTAGATCTCATGTTAAGTGTTTTTAGCAAAAACAAACAACCCCCTCTCCCAAACCAAAAAAAAAAAAAAAAAAAAAAAAAAACCCAAAAAAGCAAACGGATACAAGGAAACTTAGAAGGTGATGGATATGTCTATTACCTTGATTATGGTGATGGTTTCATGAGTGTTCACATATGTCCAAACTCATCAAATTGTACATATTAAATGTGTGCTGTTCTTTGCATATAAATGATACCACAATAAACATGTTAAAAAATAAATAAAACTTTATAAAACTAATTGTGAAAAAAGAAAATAGGCAATGCTTATTTCCCAACTCTTCCTTCTGACCTCAGTTTGAATTTACTCAAAGACTTATTCAGTGCTTACAGCACTCATCTCTGGCAGTTGAGCCCTGGTCCACTGTGCCCCATCCTGGAGCTTTCTGCTCTCCAGAATAATCTGACCTGGTCTCTCCCTGAGGAAGGGATAGGAACAAGAAGGGGAACGGAAAAACATTTATCTAGCTTTTCTTCTGTGTGGGGGCAGGGTGCCATGCACTTGCAGTTTTCATCTCATTTAATGCTTAAAACCTCTCTGGTAGTAATAACACATTTTTCTGTGTTTTAGAGAGAGAGCAATGTATGCTCTGTCACACAGCTAGTAAGTGGCCCTGGATAGATCTGAACAACCTCCTCCCTGCCTCCAAAGCTCACCCTGAGTACATAGCACTGTTTTACCACATCATGTGTGACATGCTCCCTTTTTTCCAGATTGTTTCTTCTTGCATACCACCTTGTAACTGTTTACCTCTCTGTGTTCCCAATAGACTGTGAAGAATTCTTTCATTTATCTCTTATCTCAGGCACATAAGATGCTTCACCCTCCATCAGTGACACTGAATGAATTAGCTCAATATAGAGAGATCAGAACTATACTTGGAATTTCAGATTTACAACTGAAGGACCTACTGGAAATAACACTGTATTCTCATAATACTAATTCTAGCAAAGCATCCAAGTTGAAATAAGAGAGAATCAAAGTAACAAAGAATAAATTGGTTAAGTCTCAAGCTGAGCTTATTTCTGGGTCCCTTTTGAGTTCAAGGAGATAATGTTTATTAGTTCTGTGATATGATCTAAAGTGGCCATTCCATTTTGGGGAATAATCAATATTTAACTGGCCAGCACAGAAATTCTTTGCTGCAGTTAGCCTCACCTTTGATACCATTTGATCAGATTATTGCAATGACTTGTACTTAGAGCTGGAAGACTGCACAGAAGTGGAAGCCAGTAATAGAGCATTTGCTGTATTTAGCTGTATTTTTCCACAATAACTCTATGTTCTGGAGACTGCACTAATTACTTATTTGCTTTGGGGGAAGTTCAGTGATGATTGTAATCCATGGAGTCTCACGTGACTGGGGTCTAAATTCCTTGGAAAGCATGCAAGCACCTATCTCCTAGTGCTTTATTATACCAGCAGGGAGGTCATCCAGGGAACTGGTTCTTATATTTATAAAGTTGAAACTCTGCATTACTTTGGAAAGAAAGAGAAACTACTTTACTTAAAACATCCAATAGAGCCAAATATTTTGACCTCTAGTATAAAATGTAGAGTTGTGGCTGACACTGCTTGTTGTCTACTAATGTTCTCCCTTTTTCTTTGCTAGCAATGCTCCGATTTTATTCAGACCTCAATTACCAAGTCCTCGGAGGCCGGGCTGATATATCTAATCCAATGTGGCAATCCCATTTCCTTAGGCATTGATTAGTCTCAATATGAACATATGATTTAGTTTTAACCGATGAGAAGTAATGGGAAATCTGCTGGAAGGTACTTTTCTTCTTGATAAGAGAGAATTGTATGAAGGGAAAATACTCTTCCGCTCTTTTTTCTCTTCCTTCTTTGGATGTGATCATGCAAGGTACTTTCCCTGTCTTAGTGCTCCCTTAGGTACTTCATCTACTCACACCTCAACTCTCAATGGGGAAGGCCACAGGCACCTTGAGGCTATAAGAAGGCTGAGCAAATCAGTCTCACAGTCCAGTGGTTTGGCATAGTTGCACTATTGAACCACTTCTGAATTACTACTTCAAGCTTTTTGTTACACGAGGAAATGGAGTAACTTTATCATTTAAGCTTCAAATGATCAGATATTTTGTTACTTTCTGTGGAAAATGTTCTGGTCACTGATTTGTTGGTTAATATAGATGATTGGTTTCCTTCCTTCCCTACCCTCCTCCGTAAGGCAGAATGTCAGCATTACTGCAGTGCTATTTTAAATTTGCATTTCATTGAAGAGTTAAATTTGCTGCATCCTTGATCTTTCAAAGTTTTTAATATTCTTTGGAGTCCTTAAAAAGATTGAGCCAATACAAAGTAATTATCTAATTATGTATTTCTTTGGTGTCTGTTATCACTCAGTGAAGATACGTTAAAATAATGAGGCCTTAAGCTGTTGTCAAGATTCAATGCTGACATTTAAACATTGCTATTCATGTCCTTAGATTTTAAAGTGACTAGGAAGGAATATAGAATTGAATAACTAGCATCTGATGTTTCACTTGGTGTTGGCAAGAATGCATTTGTGTGTGTGTTTTCTAACCAGAGCAACATTTTCTACTTAGAATATACCTTTACTTAGCCCCTATTTTCTATAATATTAGTTCTAGGGTTTCTCTCCTTTTTTCAAGGATATACACTAACTTTCCAGAGCCTTTGGAGACCACTGTAGATAATTTATACTCTGACAAATGCCTGCCTGGGGTACAGAGAGCAGGGCATGTGTGGGGTGAGCCTACTCATTATTCTGACTTGTTGGCAGCCTAACTGCACCTGGAGGTCCAGGGGAGAAACCTCCCCTATTACATATACTGAAAACAGGACATGTGCCTTTTGAATATCCTTAAGATTTATTCTTCTGCCGGGTGTAGAGGGCCACCACTGCCATCTTAAACCTTGTCCAGAAAGCTACATGGCCCTTGGTATTGCTATTAAGGCATAGTTATTCATATCAAAATTTGTTCTGTTTTATTTTTCTCCTCTTTAGTATGCTAGCCCTTTCTTCAGGTAGCTGGAGTGTTTCTGCAACATGTAATATGTGTGTAAATACTTCATTACTGCAAGCAAAAATATCCAGCACTCTTGATGTGGGCCAGGGTAACCAATGCCTTTGTATGGACCTCCAAACTATCCAAACTTAGATGGTACATTAAAGAATTGAAGTAGAGTTCACAATGCTGCTGCTTTGATGCTTCTTTGCTGTGGTTTTATCTGGGAGATCACTACCAAACTCATTTCATGTGTACTTGTGTACTAGTCTCTGGCCATGTGGACTTCAGTGTTAATTTTGACTTGGAGATATGTGCTTGTAAATCTCACATAGATGCAAAATATGCATTTTTTCTTAAAATATCTTTATATTACCTGCAATAAATGCCAAGTAATATCCTAGTAAACTTTATATTACATTTTTGTTTCTGGTCTTTTATCTGTAAAGAGTAAGACACTTGATTATATTGAGTGATTGCACTTTGAATACCATATCAACCTTTTAAGGCTTCCATTGACTTTAAACTTGAATAGTATTCCTTTAGGCTACAATAGACTGATAGTCTTTCTGATGTCTAGAACCTCCTTATTTTCTCTTAAATAAGAGTCATCAGGTAGTCTTTCTGATGTCTAGAACCTCCTTATTTTCTCTTAAATAAGAGTCATCAGGCTTTTACTGATGTGACAGTAGAGACTGAGATTATGGGCAATGATCACCAGTAGCCCAAATATTTTGAATAATGTTGTCTCTAATGACGTCAAAGAGGTTATAACAGTGGTATTGGAAGGAAAATGGAGGAGTTGGGTTTTGCCAGGAAGGACTAAAGAATGTAGTAAAATGAAAAAGAAGTTCAGAGAGATCAGATGATGATGATAATCTAAGAATTTGTATATTTAATCTTAATATGATTTTATGCTTAAAACAATACTTTGTGAGTATATTGGAATAGAGACTATTGACCAAACAGTAAAGAGGTAAATTCCAAATAAACAGTTGTCCTGCCTTCAAGTAGCAGATATCCTTCAATGCAGAGAGCTCAAAATGCGGCACATGACACAACACAGAGAGTCGATATCTCTGCTCTGCCTTTGTCTCTTGTGACTCCTTATCCAGAAACACATTGTTTTAGCTTCTATTATTGCTGTTTGTTTCTGTTGGCCTTCTGGCTACACAAAAGTTTATCTTTTTTATTATGGTTATAAATATGAAAAGAAAACATTGATAAGTGGTGGTGGGAAAGTGCTTAAAGTTTACATTCAAAAATACCAAAGTGGAAATCCCCTTGGCTATATTTTTTTTGTTATGAATGCAAGCTTTTCTATCAGTGATGTGTGTTTGGGGCATAACGGTTTACATACTGACAGAGGCAACTTGATCTGAAGTCCTATTCTCTTCTCAGACCCCTCCCATCTTGCGTCCATCATCACCATTCCACCAACATGAAGATTAACTGTCTCCGAAGCCAATGGACAATTTTAAATGATCTTTCTTGTATTTGCAACAGCATTTGACCAGTGAACCCTCCACTCATCCTCAAAATGCACTCTTCCCTTCCCTTTGTGGATACCATGTTCACACTTTCCTCCTACCCCTCTTTTCATTCTGTCTCAGTCTCCATTGTCCACTTCCTTTTCTGGTCTTGACCTTTACATTTTGGAAGGCCTCATGACTGCCCTTTTGTTGCTAACTCTACATTATTTCCTAAAAGATTTGAATTACTCCCTCTGCTTTAAACACTGGATTCTTATATCTGCCAACTTCATGTAGAAGTCTGGTCCACTCTTTTGAGCTTCTTAAGAATCAATTCTCTCTTTGACGTCTCTGTTTAGATATCTGCAAATAATTTTGATCTTAACATATATAAACTAAAATTTTAATTTTTTAGTTTTGGATTTACTCTTCCAGCATTCTACATCTCAGTGAATGTCACCAACATCCTTGCATTTGCTCTTGCTAGAAATTAAGGAATCAACTTGATACTGATTTTTCCTACACCCTCACATAAATGCATCACCAGGTTTTATAAGTCTTACTGCCGAAGTATATCTGGAATCTGACCACTGCATCTACTGCTATCACTAGTATACTGCAAGCCACAAGCCTCTCTCCTTTAGCTACTGCATTATATTTCTATTTGGTCTTTCCCTTTCAATCTTGCCAAATTCTAATTTACTTTCCACAAACCAGGCAGAGCAATCTATTTTCTATTTTTCAAATAGAAACCAGAGTCTGTCATTCTCTTCTGGGTCAGTTCAGGTTTTCCAGGAGGTAGATAGCAAGGTACAATTTAATATGTATGCATTTTATTAGGGATACACTTACGGGAAAAATTAGGAGGGGAGTTGGGGAAGGTTAGAGGATCATCAGACCAGGAGGCAGACTTATTCCAAAAGAAGAGAGGAAAAGAAGGCAGGATGAGAGCATTTCAGACAGTATTCAGTCTAAGAATAGTGTAACAAGGCTTTGAAAGAGTCTTGGAGTCAAACTGGCCAACAAAGTAGTCTGTGCCTCCCAGGAATTGTTCTGCTTTGTGTGTATGCTGCTCTTAGTCACTGGCAGGGAGCAGCCTATGGGAAACGTGGCCTTGGAGCAAACGCCAAGTGGGTATTAGAGCAGCACCTGGGGTCTTTGGACAATTATGCTACCTGTAGTTGGAAGACTGAAGCATTTTGTTATGACCGCTGTAATAGTTTCCTAGGACTACCAGAACTAATTAACACAAACTCAATGTTGAAAACAATGGAAATTTACCCTCTCACAATTTAGAAGGCCAGAAGTCCAAAATTAAGGCATTGACATTGGCAAGGTTTACTCCTCTTGGAGACTCTAAGAACCATGCCATGCTACTCACCTAGCTTCTGGTGTTTGCTGGCAATTCTTAGCATTCTTTGGCTTGTAGACACATAACTCTAATATCTGCCCCCCATCTTTAGGCTGCCCTTTTTCTCTGGGTGTCCACGCACATTCTTATAAGGATAACAGTCATTGGATTTAGGGCCAGCCCTAATCTAGTACAACCAAATTACATCTGAAAAGACTCTATTTTAAAATAAGTCACATTCTGAGGTTCTGGGTGGATATGAATTTCTGTGAGAACCTATTCAACCAACTACCTTGCTGTATCTCCTTAAGTCTTAAATAAATATAACACAAATGGATTAAAATGGGTGAGGTTTGATGAAGATGACTATTATATAAAAGATGTAGTTGGGATGGTGTAGGAAGGAAAAGGAAAGCCTCGAGTCAGCAGGAACACCTGAAAAAAGGCTCTGGGAGACCTAGAAGTGGAGTATGATATTATAAATAAAGTGGAAGGGAGAGTAGAAGAGATAACTCAAAGTAAAAAATCTATAGAGCCTAACTAAATAGGAGTGATTAGAGAAAGAAGGTATAAATGCTTGATCTGGTCAACAGACAATAGTGGAAGAGGAAAATACATTGGAAAGATATCAGTTTTTTAGCAAACAGATGAGTTAAAATCTGGTCATTATGAATTTATGGAGAACTATCCAATAACAGTTAAATAGAGGCCTGGGTTCAGGTTAAAAAGGTTTGAATTCATAATGAAGGAGTTCCCCAAATAAGGAAGGGTTGAGGAATGGCATGTGTTATTAATCATGTAAATCTTGGATTGGAAAATAGCTAGTGTCCTCTTCACTAAACATATAGGCACAATTTTTAATGGTTAAAAGTCATCTGTGCTTTTCTGTTTGTAAACCTCTTGTGTAACAAGGCAAAGCAGTCAGCATTAACTAGTCACTAAACTGAGGATGAGGTTGTAAAATTGCTCCTGTCTTTGAAGAGTCAAAATCCTGGGCAGGAATCAGAGAAAGCAGAATGTAGGCACTTAATTTTTTTATTCTTCTGCTTTATAGACTGATTAGATTGATGCAAACTGTGATGGACAGTACAAGATCCTAAAATAGATCTGCTCAGTAGATTTCCATTGAAGCAAAGCTCTGTTGCCCTTCTTGTGCATACTGCATATACTTCATGTGCATATTGCGCACAACTGAACTGCTTTGCAGCATTTTCTTCCACAGGGCTTCTATAGTCTCAACCTGAGCAAGATCTAAGTCAGAATTTCTCACCCTTGACACTATTGAATTTTTTGGGGGGAAAGAGGCTGCTCTATGCATTGTAGAATGATTAATAGCA
This sequence comes from Homo sapiens, assembly GCF_000001405.40. NCBI lineage: Eukaryota > Metazoa > Chordata > Mammalia > Primates > Hominidae > Homo > Homo sapiens. The sequence goes on along the minus strand of NC_000007.14, from coordinate 89,928,474 downwards.
TTCCTGACCTCTACCCACTAGCTCAAGCTTGTCCAACCTGTGGCCCACAGGCTGCATGTGGCTCAGGAAGGCTTTGAATGTGGCTCAACACAAATTTGTAAACTTTCTTAAAATATTATGAGTTTTTTTTATTTTTTTATTTTTTTAGCTCATCAGCTATTGTTAATGTTAGTGTATTTTATGTGTGGCCCAAGACAATTCTTGTTTCAGTGTGGCCCAGGGAAGCCAAAAGATTGGTCAACCCTGCATTAGATGTTATTAACACTCCCCACACTCTAGTTGAGTCAGCCAGCAATGTCTCCAGACATTGCCAAATGTCCCATGGGGACAAATTCACTCCTGTTTGAGAACCACTGGTTTAAATCATGTTTGTCACATGCAAGGTAGACTTGGTCTGCAGAGTAAGAGTTCTTAACACAACATAATGAAGAAAATATTTTAGACAAATTACACATCAAGAGGATTTGATTCAAATGCCATGAGCCTAGTCAGCTTTGCTGATCACAGCTGTACTCCAGGCTGTACTCCAGCGAAGTTGCTGCAGTTACATTTGAGAAGTTTTTCAATCACTAGCCAAGTTATGGAAGACAGCTACAACAACAAATGACCAATTCTTTCCCAACTTCTGGCCCTTGAATTTTATTGAAAAACTTTCAATAGGAAGATTATCTGTGTACCATTCATGACTGCAAATGAATGCCTAAGAATTGTCAGATTAGCCTATTTGACATGTCCTCTTGCTTGTAGTTTACTAAATGTCCTGGGTAGAATCTCTGAAGGTTGGAAAAACCCGAGGAATCTCTTTGATTTATCCAGTTCTCTTTATGCTCAGCTTCAATAATGTAAATGTAATTGATGTTTTTCACTTGTTATTAGTATAGAATGTCAACTTTTGGAAGCTTTTCTGAGTTGCAGTTGGGATTTTTTGGTGAATCTTGTTGATATGTCTTTTTTTCTAACCAACAGTCTCATCACAGCAGGTCTCCTCTCCTATGTGAAGTTCAGAAGAGTTAGCACCCTGGCAAAACCTACTTTCTCCTTTCTATTTATCTTTAGCTTTTATTTGTAGCTGTGTTCTGTGGGGATCCTAAACCTACTGGCAGAAATCAAAACTGCTGAAACTCTTTCAAAGCAGATTGAGAAAGCAGTCACATTTCAGGGTTGTACTTAGTTTGAAAAATTGGTTAGAAAGTCTTGCATGCAGGGAAGCATCTGGGGTGTTTGAAAAATGGCATTCGTGTTCCTAGTTGGAGCGCGGAGGCTGCTGACCAGTATGGAATGAGACGGGCATGCTGCTCTGCATTCAGCATATTTTTTTTTTGTTTTGTTTTCTTTCTTGTTTTCAAAAGTATGTATCTTCCACTCTTTTTAAAAAATCATTAAAGCACTTTAAAATATCACCATGCATCTCCTTATCTCTGGACTTGCTGAAAGACGAGTCAGTGGAGTGCAGCATGATGTGCAGGTACCTGGCATACAGTGCCTGTCGTACATCACACTTATTCCCTGCTGCCGTTAACAAATGCTAAGTGGCAGCCTCAGAAGAATTCTCCCTGTGGTGTCTCCGGTGGGAGTTTCCTTGACTGTGTAATAATCAGATCTGACCAGATGGTGATGAGTCTGGGAATGTTTTCTGAATGGATGCTTTTTAATCATTCCTGCTAGGCTTCCTAATTCTAAGTGGACCGATCAACTTTAGGCTGTGCAAGTTATAAGAAATCTCACAGTTTGGCCTAAAAGACTATTACCGATTGTGATTTCCCATAGTTCCATAGGAGGGCAATTTCCCCTGTCTGCAGTAATTTTATTAAGACTGAAGGGACAGATCATGGCAGATTGACAGCCACAGAGGCTGGAGAACTGATTACTTGGGCTTGAACCCTGTTGGTGCTTTTGTGAATATTTAGCCTATTTTAGAAAGATCACGGCTGGGGGCTCAGGGTTCTATATTATTCTCATAACTTCTGAGGTATGAGCTTCTGAGGGAGTGTCTCCGCCTGCTCATGTTGGCTGCTATAGACCCCCTCCCAGATTTTTCTTCACAGCCAACATGGGCACACACACATTCACTAAGTTTTTGCCTGCTGATGGCTCACAGCTGGATCTTCCTCCAGAAGGACTTGCTTTCAGCTTCCTTGGCAGAAGGGAACTGCTTCTATGCAGACCACTCTTCTATGCTATCTCTTCCAGATGTTCCCATAACCATTGATTATGCTAAGCAGTGGTGCAGAGGCCTAGTTTTTTGCCTCAATCCTGGAAAACTCTGCAGGACTATCCTAGTTCCAACGTTCTGTATGGGATTGGCTGAGGCCTTGGTGGCAACTGCATTGCAATTCAACTTCTGCCCATTCCTACCACCTTTACTCCATCACAGATGGTATTTCCCTAGAACAGTACCCGGTACATTTCCCACACACACACATCTCCTTCTCAGAATTTGCTTCTGGAATCCAAATCAAATAAGCCACTTTGGAAACAAAAACAAAAAACAAAACAGCCACGAACATCATGTCATCTACTAATTCTGAGCCTATTTCTCAGTCACACCCCGAGAATGACTAATCATAACATGGTAATATGTTTCTTTTAATTCTGGAGGTACTATGATGTTTTTCCATCATGTAAAAGGTTATGCTATTCATGCAGAAACATGAATTGAGCTTTCTATTTATGGCAGGTATTGGGCCAGAGGTAGGTGACGTTAAAATGGCAGAGCCTCTGCTCCTGAGCAGCTCACAGTGTAGGGAGAAGATACATATAATCCCTTCACCCCAAAACCTATAATGGACTGTAATCGTGCAATGCAAATAACATTTGCCATCTTCTATCAGGAAATGCAGGACTATAATATTAATGAGAGTCAGGAAAATTTCACAGGGGATGAAATGCCATTTGGGTAATGTTTTAGAGCAGAGGTTGTTAAAGTTCTTTTGCAAACGGCCAGATATTTTAGGCTTTGCAGGCTATGTGTCTTTTTGTTGCAGTTACTTAACTCTATTGTGTAAACATATGAGTGGGGTTATATTTCAGTAAAATGTTATTATACCAAAACAGACAGCAGGCTGAATTTGGCCTGTGGGCCATAGTTTGCTGACCCTTGTTTTATAGGATAATTAAGAAATCACTTGTAGTCAAGAGGCAGTGGTGAGGAAGGAACACACACACACAGCCAAATGACAAAGTCACAGATTGAAGTCTCCTTCCCTCCCTGTTGTCCCCACCTCTTCCTCCCTCCTTCCCTCCCTGTTGTCCCCACCTCTTCCTCCCTCCTTCCCTCCCTGTTGGCCCCACCTCTTCCTCCCTCCTTCCCTCCCTGTTGTCCCCACCTCTTCCTCCCTCCTTCCCTCCCTGTTGGCCCCACCTCTTCCTCCCTCCTTCCCTCCCTGTTGGCCCCACCTCTTCCTCCCTCCTTCCCTCCCTGTTGGCCCCACCTCTTCCTCCCTCCTTCCCTCCCTGTTGGCCCCACCTCTTCCTCCCTCCTTCCCTCCCTGTTGTCCCCACCTCTTCCTCCCTCCTTCCCTCCCTGTTGGCCCCACCTCTTCCTCCCTCCTTCCCTCCCTGTTGGCCCCACCTCTTCCTCCCTCCTTCCCTCCCTGTTGTCCCCACCTCTTCCTCCCTCCTTCCCTCCCTGTTGGCCCCACCTCTTCCTCCCTCCTTCCCTCCCTGTTGGCCCCACCTCTTCCTCCCTCCTTCCCTCTCCCTCTTTCTCCTCAGCCTCCCTTCTTCCCTTCCTTCCTTCTTTTTGCCTCTCCCTCTTGCCCGCTTTCTCTCTTGGAGCTATTCAGGAGAATGGTGGTTCTGAGTTTCTTTTAACTCTTCTTTGACTACTTATAATTATACTAAGTTTGTGCTTGTTTGTCTTAGTTTAGATTACAAAAATACCATAGAATATATAAGCTGTACAACATTTTAGAGGTTCTGCTCTATATTGGAATGAACATTGCATTTTCATTTCAATGCAAATGTTCACACTACTCTGGTCCTTTATTGTAGTTTGGTGAAACAAAAATTATTTTTCTCTGTTGATTATGCACAGTGTTCAAGTCTTTATGAAAATAGTTGTCTAAATTTGTATTTAAGTTTTAAATTGAAATTTGGACATTTGGGAGATATAATATTTTACAGAATTTGAGTTGCTCTATTCACATCTGTTTATCATCTATTTTATGTCATTAACTTGAGGATGTTTTTCAGTGGGAATGAGGCTTAAAAATACTAAAACTATTTAGAATGAAAACTATTGAGTATAAGAAGTTATAACTTCTCAGATTATACACAAGTCTGTTTCTAAACTAGTTGTGTGAATACATTTAAAAGGAAATTGTGTATATTTAATGTAGGTGACACGTAAGGTTTCATGGGTTTGGCAAAAAGGAAAGGTTGAAAAATATCATTTTGTCAGAGATCAGTGAACAAAAGAGAAAAATGCAAATGAAGACCTTCAGATTTGCTAAACAAACATTTTTTTCCCCAAAGTGTTACTTGTTGACCACACTTTGCAAATAAAAATTATTTTTGACCACATATTAAAACGAGTCAAGTGTGCAGAGCGGATGGAGTGGAAGATGATCAATCACATTTTGGAAGAGTAAAGGAAGCTAACATTTTTTATGCAGTGCATACTCATCACAGAGTCTGCATAATGATTTAAGGCTCACATTTATTTGAAAGTAAGTAGAGCAGTGTGGAGTTGTAGCAAGTTAAAGCTCCTGTATATTTTTATTATCTCCTATATGATTTTTCATTTCACTCCTACATCTTATGCTGACTGCCTCGCTTTTGACTTCTTCTGAAAGGTGATTAGTCTGGGCACAAAGCTTTTATTGCGGGAGACACTGCTGAGTGGGAGAATGTGGTCAGTTGCAAATGGTCCTCACAGGTGAGGGGTCCTACACTACATGCTCTTGGCATACTTCTTTACTAACGCATCAGGTACAGCAAGAGGATGGTGGGCTTGGGAGAGGGGACAGAGAGGAGAGGAAGAGATGCTGGAGGAGAGCTAATGTTAGGTGTAGGTTCAAATTGGTCACCTGATGGGGAGCAAGTGTAAGATCTTTTAGCTTCACTCAGTTCCTTAAGCTATAGCTCAGGAGCAAGTAGGTGTTTACTTGTTTGTTTAATCATTATCTGGACTCTTGAGAGCCATCCTGAATGTGCCTCTATAAATCCCCAGAGCTAATCTTTCTATGCTATTTGACACTATTCTATATAACTTGACCCTGTTGATTCTATGTCTACTGATTCATTTCTCCTCCTTTACTCTAGTCCACCTTGGAACTCTGACCCTTTCTGACACTCTGAGTACATCTCTGACCCTCTTCCTCTGTCTATCCTTCAAAGCAATATTTTCCCCAATTGGAGATCACATTCCAAAGGTAGCACAGGAAATAATTTTAGGTGGCTCACAGGGCATGAAATAATATCCAGTATCCAATATCACAGTGGGTTAAATCATATCCAATCATATAGTAAAAATTCAATTGTTCTCCTTTTAAATTATTTTTAATTTTTATTATTTTAGATTGTGGAAAGTTTGTCTTATTATATTAGGTTGTGGTAAGTCTTTCTTAAAAAACCCTTTATTTTAACAAAGAGAACAGCTGCCAGGAGCTGAAGCAGGCACTGGAGTATCACAGGTAATAATATTGGATTAAAATATAAACAATTAGAACCACATTTATTTTTATGGTCATTTCCCATTTATTATGAGAGGTAACATTGATTTTATTTTACAGTGCTGATAAAAGGTTTTGTTTTAAAATAAATTTAAGTAGAAGATATGAGAGTCCAAGAAAATTATTAAATATACAATAGTGTGGGTGATATGGTGTGCTAGATGTCAAAAGTTCTGAAAGTGGTACTTGAATAAATAAGGTTCTAAAAACACTGATTTTTAAAAGACAAATTTGTTTTTACTCTGCATAGGATTCTTGTTGTTTTTAATTTAAAAATTATTTTAATTTTTTTTTTTAAATTTAGAAACAGGGGCTTGCTCTGTTGCCCAGGCTGCAGTATAATGGCACAATCAGCTTACTGCAGTCTTGAACTCTTCAGCTCTAGTGATCCTCCTACCTCAGCCTTCAGAGTAACTAGGACTACAGAGTGAGCCACCATGCCTGGCTAATTTTCTTTTTTTTGTAGAGATGGGGTCTCCCTATGTTGCCCAGGCTGGTTACGAGCTCCTGGCCTAAAGCAGTCCTCCTGCCTCAGCCTCCCAAAGTGCTGGGATTGCAGGTGTGAACCACCACACCCGGCCCTCTGCATAGGATTATTGAGTGAATTCCATCTGCCTCTATGGCTATACTGCTAATATATCGAAGTCTCCAGAATACGTATCTGTCTCCTGAGACTCAGGGTTGTAAGTTCATGACCATTAGAGTGTCCACAGAGTGTCAAACGTGAACTTACTATTTTCATTACAAAACGATTTCTCCTCCTGTATTCCCAATTCCCATTAATGACAATTCTCCAAATTCCATGGCTTCTTTCTCTTGAGTCTCTTTTGATCTGTTCTCTTCTATCCATATATATCAATAGAGCCATAACTCTGACGTTCACAGTCTGTTTCTTGGACCAGTATACTTCCTTCTTAATTGAATTATCTGCCTTTTATATTGCTAAATTATTATATCTGCTAAATTATTTTCACCCAAGTTATCATTTTTTTACTGTATAAATCAGTGTGTCAATCCATTGTTTAAAATCCTTTGCTGGTTTGCATTTTGGTAGTACTAACTTCATAAAGTTAATTGAAAAGCGTACCTTCGTCCTCCATTTTCTGGAAGAGATTGTGTAGAATTAATTTTTTAAACATTTGTTAGAATTACAGAAGGAAATCATGTGGGCCTGAATATTCCTTTTTGGGGGAATTTTAAAATTATAAATTCAACTTTCTTTAGTAATTCTTGTAAGGTAGGTATGCTGGTGATAAATTATTCTAGTAATAATTTTTCATCTGAGGATGTTTTGATTTCTTTTTCACCCCTGAAAGCTATTTTCATTAGGTATAGGATTCTGGGTTGGAAATTCATTTCTTTAAGTATTTGAAAAATGTGCTACTCTGTTCTGGCTTCCATGATTTCTGATAAAAAATCCACTGTCATTTAAATATTTTTCTCCTATAGAAAAGGAATACATTTCTCTTTTGCCGCTTTGAAGATTTTTAAAATTTGCCTTTCATTTTTAGAAGATTTACTCTGTCTTCTGATGCAGATTTCTTTAAAATCTTCTGTTTTTCATCACTTGGCTACTTTAATTATAGGTTTATGTCTTTTGCAACATTCAGAAAGTGTTCAGCTATTATTTCCTTGAGTAATTTTTTATCCTCATCCTCTTTCTCCTATTCTTCTGAGACTCTGATTTCTTGAGTGAATGTTTTATTATAGCTCCACAGCTCCCTGAATGTCACTTTTTAAAAGAATTTTTTCTTTGTTATTCAGGTTGGGTAATTTCTATTGTTTTATCTTCTGGTTCATTGATTCTTTTCTCTGTCCCCTCCATTCTGCTGTTGAGCCAATTTATTGAGTTTAAAAAATTGAGCTATTGTATCTTTCAGTTCTAAAATTTATATTTGGCTGGGCATGGTGGCTCATGCCTATAATCCCAGCACTTTGGGAGGGCGAGGTGGGAGGATTGCTTGAGCCCAGAATTTTGAGACCAGCCTGGGCAACATAGTGAGAGTTTGTCTCTACAAATAATAATAAAAAATTAGTCTGGTATGCTGTGCATGCCTGTGGTCTCAGCTACTTGGGAAGCTGAAGTGGGAGGATTACTTGAGCCTGGAAGATAAAGGCTACAGTGAGCCATCATCACTCCACTGCACTCTAGCCTGGGCAACAGAGTAAGACCCCATCTCAAGAAAAAGAAAAACAAAATTTTTATTAGTTTCCTATTGTATGTGCTTTAATTATGCAATTTAATTCTTTTATTTAAGAAATGTTTCCTTGAATTATATATTTCCAGTATTTTTCCTGTTCCACTTATTCCACTTATTTTAGGAATTCTTTATGTATCTATGTTGCATTGTTTTTGCCTTTTGTTAATTTACTATTTTATCTAACTTAAAAAATTATTAATTTCTTTTTTTCATTTTTCTTTTCTCTCTGCTTCCACAGTGGTACATTCTGTGATATTAATTTCTATTTATTGGTTTGTCTAGTTTAATCCTCATTTACTTTCATCTACATCTGTTGCTTAATGATCCCTAAGTCCATCAACATTTACAATGTTTTAAAATTTGGATTTGTCTTTTATTTAATAGCTTCTATAATTTTGTAGTGTTTTTTGGTTATATTGGATTCCAACTCTGTTTTGTAGCCATATTTTTCTTATGTGAATTATTTTCTATTAGTGTATGATTTAGGTTTTTTTTTCTCCTTGATAACTTGCAATTTTTTTAGTTGAATTTTGCTGCAATCCTTTTAATTGTTCATTTTAAGTGAAAAGCAGTTTCCTGTATTTTAGAAGCAAGTGTTTGCTTAGCAGAAATGAAAGTCAAGATTGCTTTTCCAGCTTCATAATTCCAGGTTTCCTCTTAGGTTTCACTGTGACATGCTTAAAAACAAAAGAAAGAAATTTATCAGCATAGATGAATCTCTAATATTTTCTGAGATCCACCTCTTCTACTCTCCTTTTTCACTGGAATCTAAATCTTCTGTCCCTCTGACACCCGGGAGCTTTTTATCCTGAACAAGTGGTGTTCTGCTTTGAGCAATTTCTCTTCATTGTAGGGCTTTGGTTATTCTTGAGATCCCAGAGGGCCCAGTCTGTCCCAACACCCTCAGAACTTTCTGCAATCCCCTTGTACTAATCTATAAGCAGGAACCTGTGAAGTCTCCCTGAAGTTATGACTGTGCTAAGTTTGGTCATTTAAACACTCCACCCTGAGTGGAAACCTCCTCCTTTGGGAATGAATGCTTTTTGGAAATGCCTGGGTTTCTTGCCCTTAAGAACTTGTCAGAATTCCGTTTGTATCCTCTTTATTTATTCCTGCACAGCTGCTATTCTTCCTAGAATCTTGCTGTGCTCAGTGTTTCAAACTCTCTTGCTCTTTTCCTGGGATGTACAGGATACTTCATCACCTTGTTTTGCAATCTATTCTGTTTGTTGCTGCATAACAAACATACCAAGAGCTTATTGCCTTAGAAGGACAATTATTATATCTCAGAATGTTTTTGGGTCATAGATGCAGGCATGGCATGGCACCGGTGTCTTGTCTCTGTTTTACAATGTTGCAACCTCAACCTGGGTGAAATGGCTTGAATAGTTGAGAGTTGTAACACCTGGGGACTGGCCAACCATCCTTTTTTTCTCTTTCTCTCTCCACATGGCTAACTTAAGTTTCCTTAGACTGGAGTGACTTCAAGATAACATTCTAACATAGCAGTGAAGTCTCCAAGAGACCAAGATGGAGTCAGCCAGCTCTCTTAAGAGAGACTAGGCCTGGAACTGGCATAGCATCACTTTCACATACTCCATTATTCAAAGCAGCCATAAGACAGCCCAGACACAAGGGCAAGGAAAACAGACTTTCCCTCTTAATGACAGGAATGTCTGTGGCCTCCTTTAACCCATCATGATATCCTAGTTACTCTGTTAGCTTTTTAAAAATAAGAGCTTTTTTAACCATCCTTCCTTCCTTCCTTCCTTCCTTCCTTCCTTCCTTCCTTCCTTCCTTCCTTCCTTCCTTCTTTTCTCTCTTTCCCTCTTTCCCTCTTTCTCTCTTTCTCTCTTTGACGGAGCCTCACTGTCAGCAGGCTGGAGTGCAGTGGCGTAATCTTAGCTCACTGCAACCTCCGACTCCCTGGTTCAAGCCATTCTCCTGCCTCAGCCTCCCGAGTAGCTGGGATTACAGGCATGTGCCACCAAGCCCAGCTAATTTTTGTATTTTTAGTAGAGACAGGGTTTCACCATGTTGGCTAGGATGATCTCAATTTCCTGACCTCCTGATCCACCCACCTTGGCCTCCCCAAGTGCTGGGATTACAGGTTTGAGCCACAGCACCTGGCCAAGCTTACTCTCTTTCTTTACCACATGAGAACACAGTGAGAAGGTGGCCATTTGCAAATCAAGAAGAGAGCCCCCAGCAGGAACCAAACCTACTGGCATCTTGATCTTGGACTTCTCAGCCGCCATAACTGTGAGAAATATGTCTGTTGTTTAATTCCTGCCAAAAGTAACAACTTTATTGAACACAATTCATATATTATACAATTCTTCCATTTAATGGTCACAATTCAATGCTTTTTAGTATATACACAGATTGTGCAACCTTGCACAATCACATGATTGCAAAAAGAAACCCTCCACTGATTAGCAGTTGCTTCTCATTTCTGTTAGCTTTTTAAGGAGGATTGGGAAAATCCAAAAAACATGACATCAGTATTATCATCTTACTCAAACATGTCATAATTTTTTTAAAGGGCATATTTCTGATTTCTGAAATATGTTTTCTTATTTTGGTGTAAATTGACAATTATAAAAATATATAATTGTATATATTTTTGGAGTACAAAGTGATGTTGTGATATATTTAAAAATATGGAATAATCAAGTAAAGCTCATTAACATACATATCACCTCAAATATTTATCTTTTTTTGTGGTGAAAACATTTAAAATTTACTCATAGAAATTTTGAAATATACAATACATTACTATTAACTGTAGTTACCATGTTGTATGATGGCCTCAAAAAATTTATTCCCCTGTCTAACTACAGCTTTGTATCCTTTTATTGAGAATAAGGCAAAAATATAATTTTGAAAATATATCAGGAAAATAAGATCTTATCATCCCTATTACCTACAAGATACTATAGAGAACAGATAAAATGATGAAAATAAAAGGAGTTTTAAAAGGTTGAACATTCATTCTACATGTATTGTTTATTATTACTTAAGTAGTATTAAAAAGAGGAAAATAGAGCATTTTAATACTGTATTACCATAGCCATTGTATGTTTCTTAGTTGTGACAGTATCAATCTTCCAGTATTAAAATTTAAATACACACATTCCTCACATTTTAGGCAGAGCGGATTCTAAAATTTTTCCAATAAAATGAATGTTCACCTATGCAGTTCTGTTTTCCCTTTTGAACCCATTCAAAAAATCTAGAACATAGGGAGAAATAGATTTGGAAGTTGTGGGTTGTGCAGAAGTGCCTCAGTAATGAGAACTTGGTCCTTCAATGCTGCTGCTTCTGTACAGCCTTTCGCCTCCCGTGCCTTCTGTCACATCCTGGCCTGAACCTCTGCAGCAAGGCTGTCTGGGTCACAAGCTGATAAGGATGTGGCTGACAAGTTTTCTAAACAAGGGGACCTAATCATAGATAAGACAATCTCAGCTATGGTTAGGATGATTATATCATATATCCTACAAATCATGAGGCTTTTTTCCTGGACAAATGCTGAACAAAACAGGCTACTGGGGTGGCAGCTATAGCTGGGGCACTCATGAGCAATGAATATGTGGTCCCTACCTAAGATACTTCTTGTTTCCCTTTCTTTTAAACTGCCTCTGAGTCACTTGGTAACTGAAGAAGTAGACGCTTTTTTCTGGGCATTTGGGTATATTCTTTCAACAATGTGACTAGTCAAGTTTGGCAATGGCATCTGGGGAAGAAGAGGCATTTGTAGAAGATTAGTAACACCACCCCAATAAGTTAGGCAAGTACAGCATCTCTCCAGATATTTACTTGCTAATTAGGAAGAGAAAGGATCAGTGCCCTAGTCATTAGATTAGACAATAATTTGGCCAGATTTGGAAGGTGTATTTTTGTTACTGGATTCACATGTTATTTTGTGTTCTGTAAAATTATACAAAAAAATCCACATTAAACCTGAGTGAGTGTTCCCTGTTTTAACTTCTCTCTCCACACTTCCTGCTTCATTTCTCTATAGCTGGAGATAACCTTGGGCTCAGTACCTCTCTTAACCTTAATTTTCTCTCCTGAAAAATGAGGATAATACCAGTCCCTGTTTCACAGGGATGTTTTAAGGGACACAAAGTGAGATGAGCAAAACAACTATAAACTTTAAGTCTTTAATAGTAAGACTTTATAAGTCTTCTATAAATGCTAATCATATGGGAGGTACTCTTCACTTGTAAAACATATGGGCCCTGAAATGAACATTATTGGGCTTAAATTGCTGTTTCACTACTTATTTGGTATTTGTCCTTCTACAAATTACTTAACCTCTCTAAACATTAGTTTCTCTGTAAAATAGGGATAAAACCAACAGCTCCCTCATAGGGTTGTTGTAAGAATAAAAGGAGATAATATGTATGTGTAAGTATTACAGCCTAGTGCCTGGAAAATGTTAAGCACTCATAGACATTAGTTATTGTTAGGATTATTAAGTGTCTTAACAAGAATTGGGAAACTGGATAAGAATATTTGCTAATATCAGCCAGGTTTAATTGAGATTGTTCTTATCAATTTGTGATTTTATTCTACAGACATCTCACAAGATTTGAGGTGATTTTTTTTGTTTGTTTGTTTTGCTTTTTATTTTTAAATCCAGGCTTTATGAACTGTTCTTTTCACATGTAAATATAGCTTTCTTTGCTACCTTAAAAGCTTATAATCTGAAGCCGACCAATAGATTAAAAAGGATTACCTATTTGTTCTGTCAACCTGTAGAGTAAGCACTACTATGTCAGGGGAACTGGGGTTGTTGGATGCAGGAGCATAGAAGATGATGTACTTGTTCTATCTCCATCCCTGTCCCCAGCACATTTTTCGCCACTGGACCTGTGAGAACCTGGACACTTGGCTAAGATAGAATCCAATTCCCAGAAGTAGTGACCTAGAATTGCAGCATTGTAATGTTCCAGCATTTGATCTCCTAATTCTTCTTAGATACACTGTAATCATTTCATGTTTGACCTTCATTACTGCAGTGTGGTTTCATCTGTTTCATACTCCTGACCTAAATCTTCTTCCAAACAGACCACAATATCATAATTCAGTTTTTGATTCAACATTTGAGGCTGATTTTAGAGCTTAGTTGAAGATAGCCTGTCTATCTATAAAAGAATCTATAACTATCTATGAGATAGTTCTTTATTTTACTTTTATTTTTATTTACTCAATGCATGTGTTACAAGGGTCTTTGCATTCAGATCTGTGAAGAAACAGCTTGTTCATTTGTGATAAATGATCTAACCTTCATCACAAGCTACTGACTGTGTTAAAACAGTTCCCTTTGGGAATATGTTCAGATTTTCAAATACTACCTCCTTCTCATATTTCTTCCCAAGGTAGAGTGAGTATGCAAGGGTGTTCATTGTCTCTCTTCATTTCAGAGAAGGGGTCTCTGCTTTCTGTGTGTCCTTGTACTGCTCTCTGTATTGGTACTGAATTCTGCAGCAATGATGTCCCTTACTAGTCTGTCGCAGCTTTTGCTTTGTTGGCCACCTCTGCTGAAATTTGAGACTGAAGAATATGTGATACTCTCCTCTCTTGGCTTGGATGGAAACTGTGATGCTTTCTGCTGTCTTGACCCTATTTCAGCTCTTCAAAATTCAGCAGCTGTCCCTGAAGTCTGGCTGTGATTTCCTTTTGATCTCCAGCCTGCATGGTCGGCTGCCCACAGTTACAGGTGTTGGCCCCCTGCTAATCATCCCATCAATTACCTTGCATGACCCTCCTGAGGGCATGTGAGAGTTTCTGGATTCCTTCCATGCCATGATAGCCAAGCTGAAGAGCTAGCTCAGGCCCTTTCTCTGCTTAATTCTGCAATGGCTTTGCTTTTTTCTGAAACTGCTTCCTTAGAGTGACTGGTTTCCTCAGCGACTGCCAAGGCCAAGCTCAGAAAAAGCCCTTCTGAGCTACCGAGAATGGAGGTGGGGTAGGAGTTTTCTTAGCTCCTCACTGATGACTATAATTTTCTTTCTCCCCTAAGAGAATTTCCAATTTTGAATCTCCTGTTAGTATACTCTACCACCCACTATTCCTTCTTTTTGTAGTTGTGTACAGTCTGTATTTCATTTCTCTTCATTTCCTGAAAAATTAAACTCTTGTATTGTTGTTTCTTCCTCCAACACCAGCACTGCCTGTCATAATTCCTGGTGCAGTCAAGATCTATGAAATCATCTATCTGATATTTTGGTCTCTCATCCTCTTGACCTTATACTCTCCGCTGCTATTAGTCCTATTTCTACAACTCACTCCTGTTTATAGCCTAGATTTTGCCATTATTGTTAACAATATCCATTCTATAATTTTGATTTCAAAGCCTCTCATTCTCTATCACCTTCTGTTATTTTAGTCGACTCTCCCCAGTACTCTAATTCCAATAATCCTTTTACCCATCATAGAGACCTGAAATTAATGGGTCTACCACCTTCTCCTTGTCCCTAACTCAGCACATGTCTTTACACCCTTTCTTATTCAGTGATAATTCCATGTTTCATCATCCTAATCATTCCTTTGCCATAAATCCACAACTTCATTGTGTCTCTCTTATTTCATTATACTTCCTGGAGAAATCACAATCTCAGTTAAATCCATCTGTCTGCCTACCTTGTGACTGTGCCTGCAAAGTTGAACATGGCTGGAGAAAATCTTATCAATACCCTCACTGTCATTATCTCACTTTAAATTTATGACATCTAAACTCAAGTGTGCCCTAATGATGACTAACGATTATATTATATTTCCCTCATATATTCATTTTTCACATAACCTTTCAGATTCTTTTGTTTCGTATAAAACTTCTGTCATCTCCTCCCTCATTCTCACTCTCTGCTGTTGATGATAAAATGAAAACAATCAGAGGATTTGCCTGAGTCTATCCATTCTTTTCTCTCTACCTACCTGTATCCATGCTCATGTGTTATGCCCAGACTCCTTTTTTATAAATGAACTGTCTAAATTCCCAGCAAAGAAAACCCCCATACTCATACACATTCTCTCTCATTCTCTCTCATCCTCTTAAGAAATTCACTCTAGCAGTTCTTTCTCTTTCTTGTATTATCAATTCTTCCTTTCCATTAAACTTGTGAATGAGCATGTAGTGATTTTTTATTATCTTATCAAAACAAACCCAACTGCTTCTACTTTTTCTTCCTACTATCACCACCATTATTTCTCTCTTTTCTTTTATAATAAAGCTTTTCAAAAGATTTGGCTGTTTGCATTGGCTCCAATTCTTCTTTTCTCTTTTGGATTGAGCCTACTTCAATCAGACTGTATACACAGAACTTTTTTAAGGGTGTCCTTGGGGGTCACCAATGGCCTCCAAGTTGCGAAATCCAATGGCATTTCTTAGTCCTTTTCTTAACTGACCTATCTACAGAATTTGAAACAGTTGATTATTCCTTTATCCTTGGAACATTTTCTTGCTTTGGCTCACAAATTATTACTCACTTTGTTTACAATGACTGCTTCTTTTGAGTCTCCTTTGCTGGTTCTTCTTAATCTCTCCAACCTCTCTAACATCCTAAGCTAAGGCATTGGACCTCCTTCCTGTCTACACATAGTTCGTTGTTGATATTATCCTATTTCATGACTTTAAATGCCATCTATATACTGACAACTCTCAAATTTATATATTGGGTCAAGACCTTTTTCTTTGCTTCATAGTCATATATTCAAATACTGATTCTTTCATTATTTAGACATCTTATAGACAATTCAAAATTAATATTTCAACTTGAACTCACCCTTCTATCATCCCCATCTCAAAATCGTCCTTTTATTTGCTTTTTAAAATGAACTTAGATTCATCCTTGAATCCTCTTTCGCTTTTAATTAACATCCATTCTGGCAGGATATCAAGCAGGCTTTACCCTTAAAAATTACCTATTGAATCTAAAAACTTTAAACCACCTCTGCTGCCACCATTTTGGTTCAAGCCATACGTTATTTCTGATTTTCGCCATTGCCTCCTAACTGGTTCCTCTATTCATGTCCTTGATTCTTTCATCCTATTTTTGTTGAAGTTGTCAGACTGTTAAAACTATTTTATATGATACTGAGGTGGTAGATACATGATTCTGTGCATTTAGTAAAATCCATACAAAATACATTTTACTCTATGAAAATTTTAAAAAGAAAACCATAAAATATAGATAATTTTACTTTAAGTCTTCAAAGTTTGAGTTAAAGTCCTTATAACTGGCCTATAAGGCCATTCTGCTTTAGTTATACTGAATCCCTTGTGTCCTGAAACACAGAAGATATTCTCTGGCTTCAGGATATTTTCACCATAGCCAAGTAATGTAAACTCTAATATCACTACTGTAAAAATGTACGTTTTATAGCAAATGGTCTAATATGTGGTCAGTTTTTATAAATGGTCAAGGGAAGTTTAAAAAGGAGTATTTTTTTTTTTGCAGGGAATAGGTCTAGGCATAAATCTATAAAACCAAATTTAGATACTATATTATTTATTATTATTAGTCACCTCCATAACCTCACTTTATTTAAACTATTTAATGTCAAATACTGAGAGAGGAGTGTTAAAATTTTCACAACAATAGAAGCACTCCATCTAAAATGATCAGGACTGGAGTAAATCAATTAATCAAAAAATGTCTGCTAAGGTAGTAGATAAAGAAGAATATCTGTACTTATTGAAAACCTTTTATTTTGGCTGAAAACATACAGATTACATATTTGTTTGGTAATTCTGTGATACACGGCCTTTCTAGGAATATGGGCCCTAAACTGGAGTTCTATTATTTTTCTGGCTTAAATCATACCCATTATGTAAGGTCTGTTATTTTTGATTGTGGATTTTTAAGTGGAGTGAGAATTTAGAAACATTTTTGAAAGTGATCTGAGTGTACAATAATATGTCTAGGTTTTTGCAGTTGATAGTTCATCTCTCAATAATTTATGTTTTTTAGCTTACACCTAACTTGACAGAACATTTTAAGGGAACCACATTAAAGCCTCACAAAGTGTTTCATTTAGTTTCAATTAAGTACAAACATTTTACACATTTATTTCATTGAATACATAATATTTTATATACGATATCATGCCTAATATAGATATCAAGTGTAACAAATGTAAGCATGTTCTGGAAAAACATAACTGACTCTTGGTAAGCATACAACTCAACTGATGTGAACAGAAGAGTATGCACATACAGTAGAAGGAACCTGTCAGTGGTTAGTGTTTAAACGGCTATGGATATGTTTTATATTTGACAGAGGACTAGACGATGTCAATTAATCTAGAAAGTCAGTTAAACAAGCTTTTACTGCATTATCTCATTTCCATTAATGTCAACTTTCATTTCCAATCCTTTTTGCTTTGTTTTTTTTTGCTTTATTTGATGCAGAAAAGTGATGACAATTTAATAGCCTTTGAACATTGTCCTTTTATCCATAGAAGTATCATTCTTTCTTCCTTTGAAGTTTGTATGATAAATCTGAATTTGCCTCTTACTGATATTGCAACTTTGTTTAATACTTCTTATCTCTTTGTTTTGTTTTCTTTTATGGCCTGAGTTTCTCTGATTTTTTTTTTTCTTTTTTAATTTGGAAGGCCTTCAAATTGCTAGAGATTTATTCTAACACTTTAAAAAACTTTCAGGATTCTGTATTATTAAAAATATCAACTATGATAACTGACTTCTTCTCTATAAGATGGAGACTTGGAAAACTTTCAATTTCTTTAATCTCTCTTATTAATTTATATTTTGTAACTGGATTTTCCACCATTACTATACTTGCCTCTCTCTTTCGTGCATGCTCTCTCTCTTTCTCTGTCTCTCTGTCTCTCTCCCTCTCTCTCTCTGTATACATAATATATATATGTGTGTGTGCGTGTGTGTGTGTTTTAAAAATAAATGAATATATATTTAATGCTCACTAACAAATTAATCATTTGTGGGCTGTAGATTTTGATTTATGTGTTCGTTCACTGGTGTATATCTTCAAACAGTTTCTTTCCCCTTGAAATGTCACATAAATGATGTAGTTCCTACATCATTTTTTCAATAAAAAATTTCTATCCCTTGCTAATTTTCCAGAATCGTGATTTAGTAGACTACAGATTTCATGAGTCAGAACCATTTCCTTTTAATATTTGCAAACATTGGTAGAGATTATCTAGCATTTAATAAAGTCAAGTAGAAAAAATGATGTGATCAAATCCTTTTTTCTTTGTGGGTGAAATGTCTCTTCTCTTTGGATGCTTGAAGCGTTCTTTCTTTGTCCTCAAAAATTGAATAAACCCAGATTCAATTGAGATGACAATTCTCATTAAATAACTTCACCTAGATTTTATTTATTTGAATCTTCTCTTTTTTTCTTAGTCTAGGTAAAGTCTTGTCAATTTTGTTTATCTTTTCAAAAAATCAACTCTTATTTCAGTTGATCTTTTCCATTGTTTTTCTTGACTCTATTTAACTTATTTCTGCTCTGATCTTTATTATCTCCTTCCTTATAATAACTTTGGGGTCAGTTTGTTCTTTTTCCAGTTCCTTGAGGTGTAAAGTTGGGTTGTTTATTTGAGATATTTATTTTTTCTCTGATGTAGGTATTTGCCAATATAAAATCCCCTCTTTGAACTGCTTTTGCCGTACCCTATAACTTTTAGCATGCTGTGTTTCAATTTTTGCTTGCCTCAAGTTAATGTTTGATTTTTATTTTGAGGTGAATGCAGTTTATATTTGACTAGGGAAATACTCTTTTAATATACTTTGGATATTATTTTTATTCCATCTGTTCTGTTTTCAAATAGGATTTGCCAGGAAATCCTATTCCTAAATGTGGATTTCTGCTGTCTATTCTCAATGTCTCTTACTTTTCTTTACATCATATTCTGAGTGATTTTTAAAGCCTCTTATCCAAAGCAGTGATTTGATTTTTTGACACTTTTGATTCTACTTTTATTTTTCAATAGCTTCTAAGCTTATATGTCCTCTAATGCCATTTTAAGCTCTTCAGAGATTTAAACAAAATATTTTAGCTTAACCCCATAATCTTCCTTTTCATGTAAGCATATTTGCTTATCACGTTTGAATCTATTTTATTTAATTTTCTTGAGAGAGGAAAGCAGTTTTTAAAATGATTTTCTTTTGCTGCCTTTAGTACATCTTCAAAAGCATACTTTTGTACCTGTACTTTGCATATTATGTTTAGTTTCATGTTTATGTTGCAGAGTTTCTTCATGAGTTTTTATAAGACTGACTTTGTATTGGGGCAGCTCTAACCAGGTATTCCATCTGCTCAAAAACACTAAACGTGAATTCTCCTTGGTTCTCCTCTTTGTCTATAAAGGTCTCATAATTAGCCCTTCAAAATGCAATTGAAAGGCAAGATTTACAGTTAAATGTTATGACTTTAATTATTAACTAGGCTGAGGAAGTATACTGATATCTGCATTTATGGTGAATTATTTCCTGTAAAGTTAATTCTTATTATCTTTTGAAACTACTGAATTCAGGCTGATTTTCCTTATTTTGTTTTCTCTCCAGCCTGCTTTTAATCCAAGAAAGTTTGGCTGTATATAATCCTTTTGTCTGGATTTTAGCTTGCTCAGTGTGGGAATGCTACATCCTGCATCTCTCTGGGGTTGTAGCCAAATGCTTTCATCATAGGTACTACTTCATGGCCTTAGAGTGTTGTGAGGAGTAAAACTTAAAGTGACATATCTTTTGTCTTTCCCGTGACAACACGATTCCTCTAGCCTTTACTGTTTCAAATTAAAACCAGTTGCTGAAATTTTCTTTGTACTTCTTGCAGAACTATTTTGATTTCTTGTAAAACAGGAGTTGTGTATTAATCCATATTTTTTTTCAGTCTGCATTATATCTTGCAGGTATTCCTGTGTTGGCGTTTGGCACCCTTCTTTGTTTTTAGTGTTATTCTCATTTCTTTTGAATCATCACAACTGGTTTCTGAGTTGTGGAATTGGAAAATATACTCATTGATCCTGAATGCATTATCTTTTCCAGAAGACACCTTCAATATGAATTTTATTACTGTCTACATATTGTTTTATTCAGCTCTTCCTCCTTCACTCATTTTACAAGTAATTAGTTTAAATATTCTCTTATTTTCTCTTTGATACCTAAGTTCACTGTGTCTTGTAAAGAGCCACTTCAAGGGGGTGACATTGTTTGTCTTCTTTTGAATATATCATGACTCCCTCCCACATGAATAACCATAATCGAGGGAAATTCTGTCATACAACAAAAACACAAAGGACAGTGCTTGTTTTGTTGGACATTTTCAATGAATTTGAGTTCCAGTCTCCTTCCACTTCCTGGTGCTTTCATTGTCTATTTCCTTTTGTCCTCTCCATCCTGAAAATAATTGCTGAACATTCCCTATAAACATAGATTTCTTGATACTTGAAACTCCTATTGCTTACAAAGCCACTACTAAACTGTGTAGTAAACAATTGTTTTCTGCTGCATGTGTATTTACTTGGTTTCTTTATACATTCCTAGATAATATATAGCTAGACCAGTTGTGACGACACAGTAGATATTCAGGAATCAAACTGATTAATAAAATGGGACTATTCTTTGCTTTTTTGATTTTTATTATATATCATTAATTTTGGATTCTTCTCACTTCATGGCACTCGTCTTTCTTCTACTCTTCCTTGTGTCTTGGGGGCGTTAAGAATACCTAAACAATATTGAAATTATTTTTTGAAAGGAAACCCCATTAAAAATGGAATGAGTATCTACTTGACATTTTTGGGTTTCAGCTGGTGTCATTTTTTTTAAATCAAAGCAAAATATTTTCTGCCATTTTTGACTTATGTGTGAAAAGGAGTCAATTTATTCTTTAAAAAGTACACTGACTCTTAAAAAATTCTATATTCATGCAGAAGGCAGCTAGAGTCATATATTTCAAAATTTCAAAAGGAAAATCTAGAATTAAAGATAAATGATACATTGTTGTAAATGATTATGGAATAATGTCTGTGTTAGCAAAGAAGTACATCTTAGTTTTATACAATCTCAGTGCCCTAGTTTATGTTTCTAACATTGATGAACTACATAAGGTTCAACTTACATCAGAGCAAATTATATAGTGGGTTAGAAAAGAGACCTTGTTTTGCTAGCAAGAAATATATGTACAACAGACCAGTTATAATGTGTTTCCTTCCAAAAACTTTCTGTGTAGAGTATTATTTTTTCAACAATTTCTTTGTACTTTAAGCTAAAATAATCTTACTGCAACTTAAAACTTTTTCCTGTTCCCTTGTATTTCTGTGAAATTGGAGGCGTCATTTTACTACAGTAGATGCTGTCTTTTCAATCATTGGATAAATGTAAAGGAACCTGAGAAGAATACTGCACAAATGCCTTTCCATGTAACTAATACATTCTTCTACTCTGATTACAGTGGGATATTATTTTATTTCTTCCTTCCTATACTCATTCCCTGTTAGTTTAGGATCATATTTCTTGTTTAGTTTAATACAGAAAATTGAATATATCAGAGGGAATAGTTCAAATTAACCAAAGAACAGTTTTTGCTATGGATACAGATTTTGCAAAATCATAACTGAATATTGACAATGATTTTCTTTTATTTTGTAGTAATGCTTTTGGCTCTTTTTTTGTTTCTGAAGTGCATTTGTATGAACATACTAGTAAAATTCTACATTGTTGATATTCTGTTCTTACATTACCAAGCGTTTTAGAAAAGTACAAGAAAAAGACAAGATTCAACATCACAACAGAAAAAAAAGCAAATTAATCCAATTAAAAATGGACAAAATATCTGAACAGATATCTCTCAAAAGAAGACATACAAATAGCCAACAGTTACATGAAAAAATATTCAACATCTCTAACCATCAGAGAAATGCAAGTCAAAACTATATGAGATACTTCTCCCCAGTTAAAATGGCTTTTATAAAAAAAGACAGGCAATAATGGATGCCAGTGAGGATGTTGGAGAAAGTGGAACCCTCGTACTCTATTGATGGGAAGGTAAATTAGTACAGCCACTATGGAGAACAGTATGGAGTTTCCTCAAAAAACTAAAAATGGAACTACCATAAAATCCAGCAATCCCACTGCTGAGTTATATCCAAAAGAAATAAAATCAATATATTGAAGAGATATCTGCACTCCCATGTTTATTGTAGCACTATTCACAATAGTCAAGATGTGAAATCATTCCAAGTGTCCTTTGATAGATGACTGGATTAAAAAAAATGTGGTGCATATACACAGTGGAATATTATTCACCCATAATAAAGAATGAGATCTTGTCATCTTCAACTACATAAATAGAACTGGAAGACATTATATTAAGTAAAATTAGCCAGGCAGATAAGGAGAAGCATTGCATGTTCTCATGCATATGTGGGAACTAAAAA
This sequence comes from Homo sapiens, assembly GCF_000001405.40. NCBI lineage: Eukaryota > Metazoa > Chordata > Mammalia > Primates > Hominidae > Homo > Homo sapiens. The sequence goes on along the minus strand of NC_000007.14, from coordinate 89,906,162 downwards.
AATTAAATTCATGGAGATAGAGAGTAGAATGATAGTTACTGGAGTCTGGGGAGGGTGGTGAGGAGGGGGATAGAGAGAGGATGGTCAATGGGTACAAAAATACAGTTAGATAGAATAAGAGCTAGTGTTCTGTAGCACAACAGGGCAACTATAACAACAATTTATTGTATGTTTTAAAAATAACTAGAGGAGTGGATATGAAATGTTCCTAGCACAGAGAAATGATAAATGTTTGAGGTGATGGATATCTCAATTATCCCCACTTAATCATTGCACCTCGTATGCTTGTATCAAAGTACCTCATAAATGCATATAACTATTATGTATCCATAATAATTAAAAAGAAAAAAAGTAAAAGTTCACAATTTCAAAGCAAAACCATTGTAATTTTCATTAATTAATGTTACTGCCTCTGACTTTGGAAATTTCAGACAATATATGTTGATTCTGTCAGTGACAGTCAGAAGCAAATCTGAGCTTCTGTTTATTGTAGTTATGTGATTATAATAAAAATTAAAGAATGTAAGTCGATGTTTATATAGACTTTCAAAAGAGCAAAATATGCATAAGAATTTGCAAAATATGCTGCATTATTTTTCTGTTGGTAGCAAAATTATTCTTCATCATGATAAAATTTTGGTCCAACACAGTCCTTAATTATTTTTATGAATCATCAAGTATTCTATTTTTAAAGCATTTTCATGTTACTTTAGTGAGCCATTTTGGGTATAACACTTGGGATACTAGCTAAAAAGAATGTGTAATTCCCATCAATATGAGATTTCTCAATCCTTTGACTTAAAGCGAGTTTCTTATTGTCCTAAAATCTGGTACAGATATGTTTAATAAGTTAAAAAGTCAGGTCCTTGATGCATTCCATGCACTAATGCAGATAGATTCTGCCTCTGTTACCAGTCTACCATATTCCATTTGATTCACTCTGCTATGAAGATTTCTTTCAAGCATTATGAAGAGAAGTGTATTGTGGCAAAGACTTTAATGATAAACTCCTTCTCTTTCCATGTATTTTCTGGAGTTATACACATGTATTCTTTATTTTCTGCATATCTTTTGACTTTATGAAATTTTTAATAAGCAAGACAAAAACATGATTATAATTTTGTTAAAAATTGAGAAAATGTAATTTGGGTAATTTTATAGTTGACCGTTTTTTTTTTTTCATAGCTCCCGTTGAAGTGTTTAAATTTATTTAGTAACGCTTGTAATGTCATCATGTACACATTTAAAACAATTCATTTTATGTCCATGGGTAGGGAGCAATGTAGTTTTAAAGACATTAGTCATTTCACTTCATGTCATGAATAATACATTTATGTTCTTTGTTGCACTTTATCTGATAATATATGTGTGCAGCATGTTTCCTCTTTTGCTTGCATATTGTGGCACTTATGATGTATTATGTATAGGCAATTAGTTCTGTTTATTTTTTTAGAGCCTGTAATCAAACCATTCTGCAGTGAAGTGGAAAAGTGAGTCATGCTTAGGAAGATTGGGGTCTTTATTAAAGATAAAACCTGGTCCTAACTGTGTTAGGATGAAGGTATAACTAAAAATAGTAATTAAATATCATATATCTAAATATTTAAAAGTTATAAATCAAGGTAAGAAAATGATTACAAAATATGAGCTATCCTCATATTTTGATACAAAATGTGAATATGCATTTGGAATGAACTGGAAGACCATGTCAGAATTGAAGATTCTTAGAAAACTTAGATCTTCACAGGTATACCGAGATGTAGGCCTATGGCTTCTTAGTTCTTTTGCCAAGATCAGTTTTGCATTACAAGATGCTTGGTGCCTTTTGTACATATGTGTGTACACTTTGGTCCTCATAGGCAAGCTTCATCCATAGCTTCCCACTTAGTAATTCCAGAGTTCCAAGCTCCCAGAGCCTTGGCCTTGCAGTTCCCTTACCCATGTGGAGGGGCAGACCTGAAGAAGGGCAAGAGCAAACTGCTAAAGCGTGCCCTCAGGCCTCATGTTTACATGGCACTGCTGAAAGTACAACACAGAAATTTAGTCATTTGCTTTACTTAATGGTTGCATTGCTTTAAAGGTTGCATGCGTCTATGTAGATTTTGTAGTCCAAACAGAAAATAAACATTCTGTCCATATATTTACCAGTGGATATTTTAGAGGTAACATGGGTCACCAAGGAAAATATGACTTGTGCTAAGATATGTTACAAATCACATAATTTAAGGAAACTTTTATCATGGCAACAAATATACATCTGTGTATTTGTGCGATGTAGTTATTACTATAATGTTAATCACAAATTCAATATGATTTCCTGTTGTCTGTAAGTCACTTGACATTTGTAGTTTTCACAGAATGCAAGTATTTTTTAAATATGTATGAGCATATAAACATCTTCACTTATAAAGGTTTTTTCTAGTGGTTTAGATATTAATCTGCTATAAAGATACCCTTTGATATGAAATACAAAACTCAATTGTATAGAAGAGAATAGGTAACCAGTAGAATTAAATGACTGCATTAAATTAGATGTTTGATTCATTTATCTTCAAATCTAAACAGATAATAAAGTAACTGAAGATAATTTTCAACTGTCAGCAATTCTGAAATAGGAAGAACAGTGAACTCCTCCTGGGATTACACCATAGGGAGAAACCACATTCTTCCTTTTTAACTTTGCTGGAATATTCTATCATCACTGTCCTCTAATCAGAGAGAAATATTTGCTCAGATCAGTTGTAGATTATTATATTCCACACCAGACTGACTAGTATGTTACAAGTACACAGGCAAGGACTAAGTTTTCCTTCACTCACTGTGTTTCATCAAACCACATTTCATACCCTTATTTGAAAGCATATTCCTTGTTCTGTAACAAGCATGCGTTAGACAAATGGCAATGACAAATCAACTTTCTAACAGGCCAGCCAAACACTATCTACACTGTTGTGCTTTGTAAGCGGACAAAAGGGCGGGTTACTCAAGAAAAGGCAGGTTGTAGTTTCACCTGAAAAAATATGTAGGGAAATGTATGAAGTGAGATCTTGAAGCGACTTTGTGAACATGAGTTTGGGTCAGATATTAGCTCATTTTGCCTGTAGCAGTTTTGTTGTTCATGAGTGCTTACTGACTAGAAGTGATTGTAGCATCTGTTCCAGGCATGCCAAAATCAGTTTCTAAAGGGATTCTATTTGCTGCTATGGTCTTTCCTGGTTTTTCAAAAGCGCTTGTCCAGTGGTGATGAGCATTTTTTCATGTGTCTTTTGGCTGCATAAATGTCTTCTTTTGAGAAGTGTCTATTCATATCCTTCGCCCACTTTTTGATGGGGTTGTTTGTTTTTTTCTTGTAAATTTGTTTGAGTTCATTGTAGATTCTGGATATTAGCCTTTTGTCAGATGCAAATCAAAACCACAATGAGATACCATCTCACACGAGTTAGAATGGCGATCATTAAAAAGTCAGGAAACAACAGGTGCTGGAGAGGATGTGGAGAAATAGGGACAATTTTACACTGTTGGTGGGACTGTAAACTAGTTCAACCATTGTGGAAGTCAGTGTGGTGATTCCTCAGTGATCTAGAACTAGAAATACCATTTGACCGAGCCATCCCATTACTGGGTATATACCCAAAGGATTATAAATCATGCTGCTATAAGACACATGCACACGTATGTTTATTGTGTCACTATTCCCAATAGCAAAGACTTGGAACCAAGATAAATGTCCAACAACGATAGACTGGATTAAGAAAATGTGGCAGGGGAAGGAGCCAAGATGGCCGAATAGGAACAGCTCTGGTCTACAGCTCCTAGCGTGAGCGACTCAGAAGATGGGTGATTTCTGCATTTCCATCTGAGCTTTGAAGAGAGCAGTGGTTCTCCCAGCACGCAGCTGGAGATCTGAGAACGGGCAGACTGCCTCCTCAAGTGGGTCCCTGACCCCTGACCCCTGACCCCTGAGCAGCCTAACTGGGAGGCACCCCCCAGCAGGGGCATACTGACACCTCACAAGGCGGGTACTCCGACAGACCTGCAGCTGAGGGTCCTGTCTGTTAGAAGGAAAACTAACAAACAGAAAGGACATCCACACCAAAAACCCATCTGTACATCACCATCATCAAAGACCAAAAGTAGATAAAACCACAAAGATGGGGAAAAAACAGAGCAGAAAAACTGGAAACTCTAAAAAGCAGAGCGCCTCTCCTCCTCCAAAGGAACACAGTTCCTCACTAGCAACGGAACAAAGCTGGACGGAGAACGACTTTGACAAGCTGAGAGAAGAAGGCTTCAGACGATCAAATTACTCCGAGCTACGGGAGGACATTCAAACCAAAAGCAAAGAAGTTGAAAACTTTGAAAAAATTTAGAAGAATGTATAACTAGAATAACCAATACAGAGAAGCGCTTAAAGGAGCTGATGGAGCTGAAAACCAAGGCTCGAGAACTATGTGAAGAATGCAGAAGCCTTAGGAGCTGATGCGATCAACTAGAACAAAGGGTATCAGCTATGGAGGATGAAATGAATGAAATGAAGTGAGAAGGGAAGTTTGGAGAAAAAAGAATAAAAAGAAATGAACAAAGCCTCCAAGAAATATGGGACTATGTGAAAAGACCAAATCTACGTCTGATTGGTGTACCTGAAAGTGATGGGGAGAATGGAACCAAGTTGGAAAACACTCTGCAGGATATATCCAGGAGAACTTCCCCAATCTAGCAAGGTAGGCCAACATTCAGATTCAGGAAATACAGAGAACACCACAAAGATACTCCTCGAGAAGAGCAACTCCAAGACACATAATTGTCAGATTCACCAAAGTTGAAATGAAGGAAAAAATGTTAAGGGCAGCCAGAGAGAAAGGTCGGGTTACCCTCAAAGGGAAGCCCATCAGACTAACAGCTGATCTCTCGGCAGAAACTCTACAAGCCAGAAGAGAGTGGGGGCCAAAATTCAACATTCTTAAAGAAAAGAATTTTCAACCCAGAATTTCATATCCAGCCAAACTAAGCTTCATAAGTGAAGGAGAAATAAAATCCTTTACAGACAAGCAAATGCTGAGAGATTTTGTCACCACCAGGCCTGCCCTAAAAGAGCTCCTGAAGGAAGTGCAAAACATGGAAAGGAACAACCGGTACCAGCCACTGCAAAATCATGCCAAAATGTAAAGACCATCCAGACTAGGAAGAAACTGCATCAACTAACGAGCAAAATAACCAGCTAACATCATAATGATAGGATCAAATTCACACATAACAATATTAACTTTAAATGTAAACGGACTAAATGCTCCAATTAGAAGACACAGACTGGCAAATTGGATAAAGAGTCAAGACCCATCAGTGTGCTGTATTCAGGAAACCCATCTCACGTGCAGAGACACACATAGGCTCAAAATAAAAAGATGGAGGAAGATCTACCAAGCAAATGGAGAACAAAAAAAGGCAGGGGTTGCAATCCTAGTCTCTGATAAAACAGACTTTAAACCAACAAAGATCAAAAGAGACAAAGAAGGCCATTACATAATGGTAAAGGGATCAATTCAACAAGAAGAGCTAACTATCCTAAATATATATGCACCCAATACAGGAGCACCCAGATTCATAAGGCAAGTCCTAAGTGACCTACAAAGAGACTTAGACTCCCACACATTAATAATGGGAGACTTTAACATCCCACTGTCAACATTAGACAGATCAACGAGACAGAAAGTCAACAAGGATACCCAGGAATTGAACTCAGCTCTGTACCAAGCGGACCTAATAGACATCTACAGAACTCTCTACCCCAAATCAACAGAATATACATTTTTTTCAGCACCACACCACACCTATTCCAAAATTGACCACATAGTTGGAAGTAAAGCTCTCCTCAGCAAATGTAAAAGAACAGAAATTATAACAAACTATCTCTCAGACCACAGTGCAATCAAACTAGAACTCAGGATTAAGAATCTCACTCAAAACCGCTCAACTACATGGAAACTGAACAACCTGCTCCTGAATGACTACTGGGTACATAACGAAATGAAGGCAGAAATAAAGATGTTCTTTGAAACCAATGAGAACAAAGACACAACATACCAGAACCTGTGGGACGCATTCAAAGCAGTGTGTAGAGGGAAATTTATAGCACTAAATGCCCACAAGAGAAAGCAGGAAAGATGTAAAATTGACAGCCTAACATCACAATTAAAAAAACTAGAAAAGCAAGAGCAAACACATTCAAAAGCTAGCAGAAGGCAAGAAACAACTAAAATCAGAGCAGAACTGAAGGAAATAGAGACACAAAAAACCCTTCAAAAAATCAATGAATCCAGGAGCTGGTTTTTTGAAAGGATCAACAAAATTGATAGACCGCTAGCAAGACCAATAACGAAGAAAAGAGGGAAGAATCAAATAGACACAATAAAAAATGATAAAGGGGATATCACCACTGATCCCACAGAAATACAAACTACCATCAGAGAATACTACAAACACCTCTATGCAAACAAACTAGAAAATCTAGAAGAAATGGATACATTCCTCGACACATACACTCTCCCAAGACTAAACCAGGAAGAAGTTGAATCTCTGAATAGACCAATAACAGGCTCTGAAATTGTGGCAATAATCAATAGCTTACCAACCAAAAAGAGTCCAGGACCAGATGGATTCACAGCCGAATTCTACCAGAGGTACAAGGAGGAACTGGTACCATTCCTTCTGAAACTATTCCAATCAACAGAAAAAGAGGGAATCCTCCCTAACTCATTTTATGAGGCCAGCATCATCCTGATACCAAAGCCGGGCAGAGACACAACCAAAAAAGAGAATTTTAGACCAATATCCTTGATGAACATTGATGCAAAAATCCTCAATAAAATACTGGCAAACCGAATCCAGCAGCACATCAAAAAGCTTATCCACTATGATCAAGTGGGCTTCATCCCTGGGATGCAAGGCTGGTTCAAAATATGCAAATCAATAAATGTAATCCAGCATATAAACAGAACCAAAGACAAAAACCACATGATTATCTCAATAGATGCAGAAAAGGCCTTTGACAAAATTCAACAACCCTTCATGCTAAAAACTCTCAATAAATTAGGTATTGATGGGACGTATTTCAAAATAATAAGAGCTATCTATGACAAACCCACAGCCAATATCATACTGAATGGGCAAAAACTGGAAGCATTCCCTCTGAAAACGGGCACAAGACAGGGATGCCCTCTCTCACCACTCCTATTCAACATAGTGTTGGAAGTTCTGACCAGGACAATTAGGCAGGAGAAGGAAATAAAGTGTATTCAATTAGGAAAAGAGGAAGTCAAATTGTCCCTGTTTGCAGACGACATGATTGTATACCTAGAAAACCCCATTGTCTCAGCCCAAAATCTCCTTAAGCTGATAAGCAAATTCAGCAGTCTCAGGATACAAAATCAATGTACGAAAATCACAACCATTCTTATACACCAACAACAGAGAAACAGAGAGCCAAATCATGAGTGAACTCCCATTCACAATTGCTTCAAAGAGAATAAAATACCTAGCTTACAAGGGATGTGAAGGACCTCTTCCAGGAGAACTACAAAACACTGCTCAGGAAAATAAAAGAGGATACAAACAAATGGAAAAACATTCCATGCTCATGTGTAGGAAGAATCAATATCATGAAAATGGCCCTACTGCCCAAGGTAATTTATAGATTCAATGCCATCCCCATCAAGCTACCAATGCCTTTCTTCACAGAATTGGAAAAAACTACTTTAAAGTTCATATGGAACCAAAAAAGAACCCACATCACCAAGTCAATCCTAGGCCAAAAGAACAAAGCTGGAGGCATCACACTACCTGACTTCAAACTACAGTACAAGGCTACAGTAACCAAAACAGCATGGTACTGGTACCAAAACAGAGATATAGATCAATGGAACAGAACAGAGCCCTCAGAAATAACACCGCATATCTACAACTATCTGATCTTTGACAAACCTGAGAAAAAGAAGCAATGGGGAAAGGATTCCCTATTTAATAAATGGTGCTGGGAAAACTGGCTAGCCATATGTAGAAAGCTGAAACTGGATCCCTTCCTTACACCTTATACAAAAATCAATTCAAGATGTATTAAAGAATTAAACGTTAGACCTAAAACCATAAAAACCCTAGAAGAAAACCTAGGCATTACCATTCAGGACATAGGCATGGGCAAGGACTTCATGTCTAAAACACCAAAAGCAATGGCAACAAAAGCCAAAATTGACAAATGGGATCTAATTAAACTAAAGAGCTTCTGCACAGCAAAAGAAACTGCCATCAGAGTGAACAGGCAACCTACAAAATGGGAGAAAATTTTTGCAACCTACTCATCTGACAAAGGGCTAATATCCAGAATCTACGATGAACTCAAACAAATTTACAAGAAAAAAACAACCCCATCAAAAAGTGGGCAAAGTACATGAACAGACACTTCTCAAAAGAAGACATTTATGCAGCCAAAAAACACATGAAAAAATGCTCACCATCACTGGCCATCAGAGAAACGCAAATCAAAACCACAATGAGATATCATCTCACACCAGTTAGAATGGCAATCATTAAATGTCAGGAAACAACAGGTGCTGGAGAGGATGTGGAGAAATAGGAGCACTTTTACATTGTTGGTGGGACTGTAAACTAGTTCAACCATTGTGGAAGTCAGTGTGGCGATTCCTCAGGGATCTAGAACTAGAAATACCATTTGACCCAGCCATCCCATTACTGGGTATATACCCAAAGGACTATAAATCATGCTGCTATAAAGACACATGCACATGTATGTTTATTGTGGCATTATTCACAATAGCAAATACTTGGAACCAACCCAAGTGTCCAAGAATGATAGACTGGATTAAGAAAATGTGGCATATATACACCATGGAATACTATGCAGCCATAAAAAATGATGAGTTCATGTCCTTTGTAGGGACATGGATGAAATTGGAAATCATCATTCTCAGTAAACTATTGCAAGAACAAAAAACCAAACAACACATATTCTCACTTATAGGTGGGAATTGAACAATGAGAACACATGGACACAGGAAGGGGAACATCACACTCTGGGGACTGTTGTGGGGTGGGGGGAGGGGGGAGGGATAGCACTGGGAGATATATCTAATGCTAGATGACGAGTTAGTGGGTGCAGCGCACCAGTATGGCACATGTATACATATGTAACTAACCTGCACATTGTGCACATGTACCCTAAAACTTAAAGTATAATAATAATGATAATAATAATAATAATAATAATAAAAGTAAACCTAAAAAAAAAGAAAATGTGGCACATATACACCATGGAATACTATGCAGCTATAAAAAAGGATGAGTTCATGTCCTTTGTAGGGACATGGATGAAGCTGGAAACCATCATTCTCTGCAAACTATCACAAGGACATAAAACCAAACACCGCATGTTCTCACTCATAGGTGGGAATAGAACAATGAGAACACATGGACACAGGAAGGGGAACATCACACAGCGGGGCCTATTGTGGGGTGGGGGCAGGGGGGATGGGGGAGGGATAACATTAGGAGATATACCTAATGTTAAATGACGAGTTACTGGGTGCAGCACACTGACATGGCACATATATACATATGTAACTAACCTGCACATTGTGCACATGTACCCTAAAACTTAAAGTATAATAAAAGAAAAAAATAAAAAGCACTATTATAATTTGTGATAGTATTACAGGGATCGCTTTAGAGCAGGAACTTGGTCTCAATAACGTCCTAGCTTCATCTCTTTGGTCATAGGCCTGAATGAGAGAATTTCTTACTAATGAAACTTGCTAATTAGTGCCTCAGCCCACTTATGTGCTGCAAGAGAGAAATTTTTGCATTTGGAAGTTAAAATCCCTGCTGACTAGAAATCCTCAGAAAGAAAACTCAGTTGCGATCCACTGGGTTTGGCAGTGCAGTGACATTTATGTGCACACGTTTCTATCATTGAAAGTAAAATAAATTACATGAATTAATTTCAATTACTTTATCAAACAGATTTGAAGGATTTAATGACATTTAAATAATTACACCTGAGCTATAGAAAGGAACATGTGTCTGAAATGAGATTCAGTCCTAAGAGAGTAGCAGAATTTTTTCTCTGAAGGGTTTCTGTACTGAGAATGAAGATAAGCGTTCAGTATTTTTAAATCTTGTTAAGTGCCATTAAATTTCAGAAATAGGTGCAAAATTACGAATTATAGATTTTTGCATAGGGCCTACCATAAATTGAGTATTAGTAGATCAAGTGACAGTCTCTCCGATTGCAAGCCCTTATTATAGAGTTTTTCTTCTTTTATCTAAATGATTCAAGAAACTATATGCATGTGGAAGCTATGCATGAGATTTTTGATATATGAGGCTAGAATTGGACAAGTTTTACTGGCAGTAATGGTGGTGGAGTGCAAGTATCAGAGTCAGCCCTGAGGAGTTTGGGAGCCTTTTTGATCTCCTTTCATTCTGTTGAATCCATGTTAAAATGGACATTAATTGTGTATTGTATTTTGAAGTAGATAAAGTTGGTATGAGGGGTTGTTTGAAAAAAAATGGTAATAATGGTAATGTGGAATCATATGTAATTTCATACCTTTATGAGAATGAGCAGAGAGATTCTGCATTATTTCTCCTAACTCTAGTAGCTGAGAACCAGGTCCTGCCCATAGTATGGGCCCCAGACCCCAATCTACTGTACACATCTGAAAGTCTGCTTGGTTGACTTCTTTCACTCATTTCCATTAATGATTATTTCCTTATATATACATATTTTTTATTATACTTTAAGTTTTAGGGTACATGGGCACAACGTGCAGGTTAGTTACATATGTATACATGTGCCATATTGGTGTGCTGCACCCATTAACTCGTCATTTATATTTTTTAATCTAAATTTCAGTTTTAAGAATATCCTCCAAAGGAGGCTCCAGTAGACATTGAGGCCTTAACTTCAAACAAATGAATTTAAAATAGCAGAAGCAAAAATAAAGTAATGATACACAAAGAAGTAGCATTTAAATAAATACCCAGTTAGAGTACCTAATAAAATATGAGGAAAGGGAGTTGTGACGATGAGTTCAGAAGACTCGGAGAGTCATTCATGAGAGAGAGGCTGTGTGGAGTGGTAAAGGGAACATGGGCTTTAAACCCAAGATTGGTCAGATTCCAATTTCACCCTTTGACTAATTTTTATGTGAATTAAGACAATTGCTTGCTTTGGAACTTAATTTGGACCCCCAAATAGAGTGAGAACAACATCATCTATCTTTAAGAATTTTTGTGATATTTGTGAATAATATATACAAAACTACTGTTAATAACACACAATATCTTTTATATGAGCACTTAATAAGTTGTATCTATTATATAAAAATACTAAGTGAGTGTAAGAGATTGTATAGATGAAAATTGCAGATGAAAATTGCAGAAGCGGCACAACTCAATAAAGAAATGAGCACTTACAGTTAAAAATTCCAGATAGCTATCGTACTTGGGAAATGAGGGTAAATGTAGAAATGATAAGATTTGTTAGAGGGAAATTGAAGAGAAGGTGGTGAGAATGTAGGCTCGAAACCCATACTACTTGTGTTTAAATCCCAGTTTTTTCATTTAAGAGCTGTGTTTCATCAGACAAACTAGTTATGTACTCTGTATTTCAGCTTACTCAGCTGTGAAATGGGGATAATGACTGTCATGCCTCCCTCATAGGGTTGTTCTAAGAACTGAATTTGGTGATACTTGTAAATCTAGGACCTAGCACATAGCAAGCCATAAGTCAACAGATTTCTTTATGATTTTGTTGTCCTGACCACTATTTGATTCATTTCCTTTTTGTACTTTCAGACATAGTAAAGAGGAAGGTTACCTTAAAACTATTTTAAAAAACCACATAATTGATTGATTTCTAGTTTGGATGTAAAAAGTCACAAAAGACCGTTAGTCTTAAATTAATAACCCAAACAAACCAGATAAGGTATAAAAATGATATTTTAAAAAACATCATAAAGCTGAGCACATAAAGAAACCCAAATGAACAAGACATCAGAGAGTGAGAAACTCTTTATAGGATAGAAGAGATTTATCACTGTTCTCCTTTCTAGAAGAATTAATCACAGACAGGATAGGCAGAAACCAGCTGACCTGCTAATGCATGTTTAATAACCGTGTGTGGGCTCTTGTAATAGATTGGAATTACAAGGGCCCCAGCCATAGAGCAAATTGCCATCCCACCACCAGTTGGAAAATAGCAGTTAAAAATATGTAATAGCATCAAAAAACCTTGGAGAAGAAAGAGTAAATCTAATAAAAGATATGTAACACCTCTACACTGAAAATTATAAAATATTTGGGAGAGAAATTAAAGATCTAAATAAATGGAGAAGTATAGCATGTTCCTCGATAGGAAAATGCAACATTGTTAAAATGTCTAGGCTTCCTAAACTGATAGATAGACTCAATGCAATCTCTATCAAAATGTCAACAGGCTATTCTGAAGAAATAGACAAGATAGTTCTAAATTATATATGGTAATGAAAAGAAAATAGAATTGCAAAACCTATATTGAAAAAGAACAAAATTGGAGGACTTAAGACTACCTGACTTCAAAATTTACTATAAACGTATAGTAATCAGGGAACTGTGGTATTGGCATAAGCATAGGCAAATAAATTAATAGAACACAAACAAACCACAAATACTCAGTAAAGTGATTTTCAACTTCAAATATGTAGTCAAGTGATTTTCAAAGAAGTGCCAAAGCAATTCTTTGGCCAAAGTCTTTTCAACAAATGTTGCTGGAACAACTAGATATCTATATGGAAGAAAATGTAATTTCACTCTTATTCCATATACAAAAATTAATTCAAAATGGATCCCAGACCTAAACATAAAATGACACTTATAAAGCTTCTAGAAGAAAAAAGAAACATATCTTCATGACCTCAGGTTAGGCAAAGATGTATTTGATAGAACACAAAAAGCATCAACCATAAGAGACAATAAGTTAATTACTAAAATTAGGCTAAATTTAAAATTCTGCTCATCAAAAGACTCCATTAAAAATTAATAAGTAAATCTCAAAATGATAAATAAAATTCAAAGAATTTCTGACAACAGACTTGTATACAGAATAGATAAAAATTTCCTACCAATCAACTACAAAAAGACAACCCAATTGAAATATGTGCAATAGACTTAAACACTTCACAAAAGAAAATCTATGAATGAACAATAAATACATTTAAAAAGTCTTTAACATTACTAGATATAAGGCTCTGCAAACTAAAGCAACAATGAGATGCTATACTAAACATCCACAGGAGTGGCTGAAATTTAAAAAAAAAACTGAAAACATCTTATTTTGGTGAGAATGTGGAGTGAAGAACCTCTCATATGTTGCTGGTGGAGTGTAAAGTGATAAAAATGCTTAGGAAAACTGGCAGTCCCTATGACCTAGCAATACTACTCATAGGTATTAACGTGACATGTAAAAAGATATAGCAACCAGATTTATAATAACAAAAACTAGAACAAACCCAGATATCAAACAATGGGAGACTTGATAGATAGATTGTAGTATATTCATACAATTGACCACTATTTAGCAGTTAAAACTATTGATATACAGAACAACATGGAGGATAACCAACAGCGTTATATTAAGTGATAGAAAGGATAACCAACAACATTATATTAAGTGATAAAAAGCATATACTGTAGGATTTCATTTGTATGAAATCTGAATACAGGGAAAAGTAATCTATGCTGATAGAAATCTCATAGTTAATGTGGGGATGGGGACAGAAATCGACTGGAACAGAGCACAAGGGATTTTTTTAAATGTATTTTTTCAGTGTTGGTTACATAGCTGTATATAATTATTAAAGCTCATCATACTGAACAGTTGAAGTTTGTGCATACTGTTTTTGTTTTTTTTTTTTGGGATAGAGTCTTGCTCTGTTGCCCAGACTGGAGTGCAATGGCGTGATCTCGGCTCACTGCAACCTCTGCCTCCCAGGTTCTAGTGATTCTCCTGCCTCAGCCTCTGGAGTAGCTGGGATTACAGGCACATGCCCCGTGCCTAGCTAATTATTATTAGTTTTTGGATTTTTAGTAGAGATGGGGTTTCACCGTGTTGGCCAGGCTGGTCTCGAACTCCTGACCTGAAGTGATCCACCCACCTCGGCCTACCAAAGGGCTGGGATTATAGGCATGAGCCACTGTGCCTGGCTGTGCATACTACTGAGTGTTAATTATATCTCAAAATAAATAAATAAAAAACAAGTGAAAACAAGCAGAGAAAAAGGTATCCGATCGTTGGTTAAAAAAGTCACAGAACAGCCAAAAACAGTTTGATCTCCAAATGGTGAAAAGAGAAGTCAAAGAATAACACATAAAGAATGCAAAAATAATCATTTGCTCCATTTGCTCGTCGGTAGAATGGAATCATTCCCCCAGTACAAAATCCTTTTGTCCTGAAATATGTCACACTGTCAGTGCTCAGCCATCCTGAACTGTGTCTCTGATCCCCAGGGTGTTCTAATCTTTAGCGCAGCCGATTTCATATGTTTAAATTGACTAACTTTTCTGCTTTGTTGTAAATACAACAAACTCTGCAACAACCCAACATTTTATGCATCTTAGATTTTGATCAGAAAGCAATTCCATGCAATACAACCTATCAGGTTTTTATTGCTTGACCCCCTATTTTGCCAAATATGTGATAAGGATATATGTGGAGATATTTCAGAGGCAGAAAGTGTACACTGGACTTCAGTGAGGTTAGATGAAGGGTATTTGAAGCTCTGCATAAGGAATAGCTTGATGGAAGCAAACTCTACTTAATGGAACATGATAAATTTTCTAAGGCTGTAAATATTCTATAATGACTTGATAAATAATTCTATGTATTCCTGTATTTTAGAAATGCAGTTTCCTGCTGCATTTTAAAGAGCTGTAAGTCTGCTACCTTCAAAATATGTGCATCCTTAGTTGTCAACCTGTTTTAAGGACATACCATGTTCAAATACTTTGGAATTATTTTTATTACTATGTTGATATAATTATGCTGAGTGCCGAAGTCAGGAGTGACAGCTATTGAGGCACCACAATAAGTTTTTTTATGCTACTGTCACTCCAGTTTAACCTTTTGCCTGAGGAAAAGATATTCTTTCTTTCCTAGATTAGCTGAAAAGCATCTAAATACATAATTTGTGGTGCTGCACTCATTTTATTCAGATCACCTTGGAATTCAAGTTACATATAACTTTTAGCAAGTTTTCTTCTGCTAGAACTGTTGGGAAAAAAGTACAGAGTTGTGATGGCATTGTTGAATTGAGCTCTTGTGTTGATTTAAGATGCCTCCATTAGATATTTTGGAGCTGCCTCCATTCTCAGGGCGAATTCTTGAACTGAGAGAGTGTTCTGCCTTGGGACCATGGCACTGGTCCATAAAGCAGAACAGATGCTACTTTTTTCTTTTAGGTTTTTTTTTTTTTATTGTGGTTTGTTTACTACACTGAAAAAAATGGCTCTCTTTTTCCTTATTTGAGTGTATGATGCTTAGCCTATTTGGGTGGATGGGGGGATATTAGCATAAGTGACTTTTTTTCTAATTTATCCAGCTGATGCTAAGTGGCTTTCTATAACACCTAGATAGAAAAAACAAACAGTATATTATACACACACACACACACACACACACACATATGTACATAAAAATATACAGATGCATATAAACATATACATGTATATCCTTTTGCCCACATGATCTGTCCAGCTATTATAGAAGAATATAGCTGGTTAATTGACCACATAAGGATTATTCTTTAGCCATAATTGTCCCTTTCACAGAGCATTTTGCAAGACAAATGAGCAGGATAAATCAAAGTGGACATGTGCATAACTTTGACCAAAGAATTTTACCTCTAAATATCTATCCTATAGAAATATTTGCACGTTCTTAAAGATATATGACATTAAAACATTTTTGTGATATAAAAAATTTGAAAGTAAATTAGATGTTCATCAACAAATTATGGCGCATTATTTCTATCAATATTGTGCAGTTACAAAAATAATAGTATAGATGTCCATGTAGACAGATATCTTCAAGAGGTATTGGTAAAGAGAAAATGCAATTCACTGACCATAATCTCATTTATAATAAACAAAAAAACCCACAAACAACTGTCCTTTATGTATGCCCAAAAGTTTCGGAAAGAAATTTTAAACTGTTATTTGTCTAAGGAAGAGAGAGGGATTAAGAAAGGAATATTGAAGGAGAATAATTTTTTTCTCCATACTTTTATGTTGAATTTTAAGATTGTATTTATGTGTACTTGTTTCTTTAAACAGAAGAAAAAAATTGGTTTTTCCAAGACTTCTTTCTAAATAATTGTTATCTATTTAAGAAGTAGTAAATTCCAAAATTAGAACAAAATTCACAATAATGAAAATGCTATGATAATGTAGAAGATATTGATAGATTGAAAAGATTGCTATTTAAATGTGTAGCTTCACAATTCATATGAAAATATCTTAAAACAAATTTTTCATTTTTTTGTAAATAGTTAAAAAGGGAAATATGATTATTTCCTTGTTAGAGTATGAGATAGCTCTACTGCATGTATTTTATAAGTGATTGTTTATGTAGCCATCTGTAGTGAGTTCAATGGTGACTCCCCAAAACATATATCCAAGTCCTAATCCCCAGAACTTGTGGATGTGATATTATTTACAAATAAAATATTTGCAGATGGGACTAAAGTTCTTGAGATGAGACCAAGATCTAATGACAAGTGTCCTGGTAAGAGACAGCAGACAAAGATATAGATAAGGCCATATGAAGATGTAAACAAGTATTGAAGTGATGCAACCACCAACCCACTAAGGCCTGGAGCCACCAGAAACTGGAGGAGGAAAGGAATGATTCTCCCCTAGAGTCTTTGTGGCCCTGCTGACACATGGAATTTGGACTTTTGGCCTCCAGAGCTGTGAAAGAATAAAAAAATCTATCGTTTTAAGCCATCAGGTTTATGGTATTTTGTTACAGCAACCACAATATGCCATCCGTCTCCTAAATAAATATTTGATAGGTTTAACATGCAGAAGACATCTGAGAATTTTAAAACCAAGATCATTTCAAATTTCCTGTTAAATTTTGAGAAAAAGAGAAAACCCACTAAGTAATTGCAATATCGACTAAGAGAAATGAACATCATCCCATGTGTTTTCCCAGAACCACTGATTGCTGGAAGATTTCTTAGAGATCATCTGGTCCAGTGGTCATACACAGAAGAGCCCATAGGTATCAAAAAAGAGTCATGAATGTTGTCATTTGGCTGAGCGTAGGACTGAAGTTAGTGGTGAATGGTAGTAAAGTAGTATCTGGTCTACCAAACGGCATTGCAAATAAATCAGTTAGAAACTCCAGGAAGCCAAAAGAAATATATCTTTATTTGGCTACCCATTAAAACTCAGGGGCTTCTATAAGAAGAGGAGGGATGGAGCAAGATGGCAGAATAGAAGCCTACACCATTCATATTCCCTGCAGAAACACCAAATTTTAACAACTGGATACAGAAAAGAACCATCACAGGTACCAAAACTCAGGTGAGCAATCATAGTACTTGGTTTTAACTTTGTATCATTGAAAGAGGCATAGAGAAGGGTTGGAGAGACAGTCTTGAATCAGCGACATCACCCCTTCCCAATTTCCTGGCAATGGCTCTGTAGTGCAGAGAGCCTGTGCATTTAGGGTAGGGAGAGCACAGTGACTGGGAGGCATACACTGAACTCATTGCTACTCTGTCATAGCAGAGAGAAAAGCCAGCCTGGACTCAGCTAGTGCCAGCACATGGAGAAAGCATTTGGACCAGACCTAGCAAAAGGGGAATCACTCATCCCATCGGTCAGAACTTCAGCTTCTTGGAAAGCTTTGGCACCATAGGCCAAAGTACTCTGGAGTCTTAGGTAAACTTGAAAGGCAGTCCAGAAGGACCGCAATTCCTAGGCAAATCCTAGTGCTGGGCTGGGCTCAGAGCCAGAGGACTAGGGGGCACATGACCTAGGGAGACACCAGCTGGAGTGGCTGAAGAAGTGCTTGAGCCAATTCGACTCCAACCCTAGGCAGAGCAGCTTGTGACAACAAAAGTGTCCTATTTCTTCTAATTAAGGTGAGGAGAGCAAAGAGTAAAGAGGAGTTGTCTTGCATCTTGGTTACCAGCTTAGCCACAGTAGGATATGGCACCAGTCAGGGTTATGATGTCCCCTTTTCAAGCCCTGTCTCCCATATGACATTTCTAGACACATGTTGAGTCAAAGGGAACCCATTGCCTTGAAGGAAGGACCCAGTCCTGGCAGGATACATCACCTAATGACTAAAGAGTCCTTGGTGCCTGAATAACCAGCAGAGATAACCAAGTAGTATGCTGTGGTCCTTGGACTCTGAAACATGCTGACTGTAGACGTGACTCAGCACATTCCCAGCTGTGGTGGCTACAGTGAAAGACCTTTCTGTTTGAGAAAAGCAGAGAGAAAAGTAAATGGGACTTTGTCTTTCACCTAAGGTACCAGCTCCACAACAGTGGGGTAGAGCCGTAAGCAAAAGTGTGGGGTTCCCGATTCCAGAACTAGGCTCTTGAACAGCCTTTCTGGATCTGCCCTGGGGCCAGAGCAGAGCCCATGGCCCTGAAGGCTGAGTTTCAGGACTGGCAGCATTCACCACAAGATGAATGAGGAGCCCTTGGGCATTAAGTGAACATCAGTGGTGACCTGGCAGAACCCCATGATAGGCCAGTGGTGGTGGCAGTGCTCACAGGGAGGCTCCTCGCCTATGGAAAGGAGAGGGAAGAATGGGGAGAAATATATATTGTGGTTTGAATGCCAGCTTAGCCACAGAAGAATAGAACATAAGGCAAATTTTTAAGATTCTTGACTCCAATCCCTGGCTCCCAAGCAGCATCTCTGGACCCGCCTGGGGGAACTCAACATCCTGAAGGGAAGGACACAAACTGCACTGGCTTCACTTGCTGATTGTAGAGCCCTAGGGCCTTGAGTGAACAAAGGTGGTAGCCAGGTGGTTGTTACAGCGGGCCTTAGGCAAGACCTAGTGGCCGTGCTAACACTAGCATGGTGCTTTCATGACCACACCCCTAGTTCCAGACAGCTCAGCACAGAGAGAAACTCTGTTTGGGAGAAAGTAAGGGAAAAGAACAAGAGTCTCTGCCTGGTTACCCAGAGAATTCTTGCAGATCTTATCCAAGACAACCAAGGTGGTATCTCTTTCAGTCTGCCAAAGCCACAGTGATATTGGACTTGGGGCCCAAGTCCCTTCAAATACCTGGAAATCCTCAAGAAGGATGGGCACAAACATCACTGATCATTAGCGAAATGCAAATCAAAACCACAATGAAATACCATCTAACACCAGTCTAATGGCTATTATTAAAAGTCAAAAAACAGATGCTGGTGAGACTGTAGAGAAAAAGAAATGCTTATACATTGTTGGTGGGAGTGTAAGTTAGTTCAACCATTATGGAAAACAGTGTGGTGATTCCTCAAAGACCTCAAGATAGAAATAACATTCGACTCAGCAATCCCATTACTGGGTATATGCCCAAAAGAATATAAATTGTTCTGTTAAGAAGACACATGCATGTGTATGTTCACTGCAGTACTATTTACAATAGCAAAGGCATGAAACCAACCTAAATGCCCATCAATGATAGACTGGATAAAGAAAAGGTGGTATATATACACCATGGACTACTCTGTAGCCATAAGAAAGAACGAAATCACCTTATTTGTATGGACATGGATGGAGCTGGAGGCCATTATCCTTAGCAAATTAATGCAGGAACAGAAAACCAAATACCTCCTGTTCTCACTTATAAGTGGGAGCTAAATGCTGAGACACATAGAGGGGAACAACACACACTAGGACCTATCGGTGGGTGGAGGGTGGGAGGAGGGAGAGGACCAGAAAAATAACTAATGGGTACTAGGCTTAATATCTGGGTGATAAAATAATCTATACAGCCAACCCCCATGGCACACGTTTACTTATGTAACAAACCTGCATATGTACCCCTGAACTTAAAAGATTTTTAAAACTGGGCAAGAGCTCTGAATAGACATTTATCAGAAGAACACATGCTAATGACAAACAGGCATATGATAAGGTGTTCCATATTATTAATCATCAGAGAAATGCAAATCAAGACTACAATGAGATCTCATCTCATCCCAGTAAAAATGGCTTTTATCCAAAAGACAGGCAATAGCAAATGCTAGTAAGGGTGTGGAGAAAAGGGAACCCTTTTACACTGTTGGTGGGAATGTAAATTAGTATAATCACTATGGAGAACAGTTTGGAGCGTCCTCAAAACACTAAAAATAGAGCTACCATGTGATCCTGCAATCTCACTCCCAGGTATATACCCAAAAGAGAGGAAATCAGTATGTAGAAGAGATATCTGCACTCCCATGTTTGCTATAGCACTGTTTACAATTGCCAAGATTTGGAAGCAACCTAAGTGACCATCAACAGATGAAAGGATAAAGAAAATGTGGTCCTTATGCATGATGGAGTGCTATTTAACCATAAAAAATGAGATGCTGCCAATTACAACAACATGGATGGGACTGGAGGCCATTATGTTAAGTGAAATAAGTCAGGCTCAGGCACAGAATGACAAACATCACCTGTTTTCACTTATTTGTGAGATGCAACAATCAAAACAATTGAACATATGGAGATAGAGAGTAGAAGGATGTTTACCAGAGACTTGAAAAAGTAGTGGGGACACTGAGGGTAGATGGGGATGTTTAATGAGCATAAAAAATATTTAGAAAAATGAATACCTAGTATTTGATAGCACAACACTGTGACTATAATGAAAATAATTTAGTTGTATATTTAAAAATAGCTAAACAATTACAATTGGATGTTTTTTGTAACACAAAGGTTAAAAGCTTAAGGAGATGGATACCCCATCTCCATAATGTGATTATTATACATTGGATGCCTGCATCAAAATATCTCATGTACCCCATAAATATATATACCCACCCTGTTCCCACAAAAATTAAAACTAAAAAATCTTTTTAAGTGAAGAAAATGGAATCTGTAAGAAAATTTGCTGTTCCTGCCATAATATCTAAGTAGCAGCTCAACCTGGAAAATAGTCCCAGTTTCCTCCTTCCTACTCTAGTGTGGTTCTGTCTCCCAATATCTCTTTATCTCTGCTAATCAGAATGGAAAGAGACTAAGATGTATTGGCCAGCATGAGTCAGACACCATGCCAGGTTCCTTCAGATACATAATCTCATTTAATTTTCCCAACAGCTCTGTGAGGTTGGTAAGTTTCCTCCAGATTCAGTAACTTGCCTAAGGTCACTCAGCTAGTAATGAACAGTTCCACTGACTGCAGAGCCTCAAACAGGTTCCAAGACATAATATTGCTTCCAAAGGAGGACACAACAACTGTGAGACTCTGGGGGAAGTACGGATATATTTTCTTTCTATAGAGAGGTCATAGTTGTTAATAGTCACATTAATTTTTTATATGCTTGAATTAGAAAAAAAGATGTTTCTTCAGTGATACAATTATCCTCACTATTTCTTTTCCTGATACTCACATATGTAAGTTCTTCTTTTACTTTTTTGGCTTTATGAAAATTTCCTTTCCCTTAACAAATCCAAGACAACAGCCTTATTGCTTAAATTTTTATAAAATTATTTTCCAGCTGCCAAAATTATCAAATTACTTTTGGAATGTGATCTATTTCCTCTGTACTTGTTAAATGAAGCAATTCTTTTGCGTATCTGTCTTTTTAGTTAAACAGTTGTGCCTTCAGAAATTCTGTCTTTTGGATTTTACACATGCTTTAAGAGCTAACTTTGGCTATGCTAGAAGAAAGTCATTTGTTTTTTCATTGACACATGGGGAAAATGCACTTTTAGATAATATATTTTGAGAAGGAGCCTTTTGCCTGTAGTCATTCTGCCAAATGCCATGGGAATTTTCTAGTTGTTTTCCTCATTTAGTTAACCAATAAATATTTATTCATGGCCTATTATGTGCTCAGCATGGTACTTGTAGACTATTTTAGATGTTTTAAAAGAAATATGAGAAGAAATAAATAAATCCAGCATTTAGAAGCCGACAACTGAGCTGTGGAAATAAAACTAACATATGAAGAATCAGAGATGTGGGTGACTAATAGGGCATCAGGAACCAAAAAATCAAACAGTTTAGTATGAAACAAAGTAGTCAGAGAAGATTTCATTGAGATTGTGGAAACTGAGACTGGAAAATTCATAAAATGGAGGACATAAATAAGAGCATATTTTTCTGTGTGTGTGGTGGAGAATAGAATTAAAGAAAGGAAATGTGGAAATTTGTGTATTTGCAGGACAATGAGTAGATTAACCTCATTAAGGAAAAATAAGGTAAATAAGAGTAAGAAATAAAGAAAATAAGGAATTAAGTATGGTAGCCAAATGGTGTGGTTCCAAAACACATTAAGTGTTTCAGAAACTAGTCTAAGGAGTTTAGATTTGAAATCAGATGATAATGAATCTTTTCATGATTAAAAATAAAAAGATAAAAGGAATTTTTAAAGAAGATGTAGTGGAAAAGCGTATGACAGTTTTATTAAAGAAAAGGCAAGGTCAGCCCTCGAGTCCAGTAAATATATCAGCTAAAATAGTGCTGTGTTGATCTGGTTGTGAGATAGAGAGGGCTTGGACTACAGTAGTGGTAGTTGGAACGAAAGAGATAAGGCAGATTCTTCAAAGAGGTATTGAAGGAAGAATCAGTGGGAATTTCTTAGAGATTAGAGAATGAAGATGCTAGTAGGCAGCTGGCAAGAACATACCATGATTGAGTAGGGAAGGAGATACATATTTACTAATGGCCAGATACTAAATGTCACAGCCAAAGCAGTGAGGATATATGAGACCAAACTATAGGGAGAAAAATGGAGGTGTGAACTTAGAGAACACTCCATAGATAGAAACACAGTGGAGAAGCTAAGTGGCATCAAAGAGATGGAAGAAGCCCATAAAGTGCCAAAGATGCCAAAGAATGAGGAAATGTCACTAGGGGGTTGTTCATAGTAGCAAACACTTTAAAATGTTGAATGACAAGTCTGAGGAAAGGCAAACGTCATACATTTAGCAGAAAGAGATAACTAGTAACCTTTGAGGAAATAGTTTCATGGAGTTGTATGCACTGAAGTAGATGACAAAAAGGATAAGAAGGAATTAGAATCCTTAAAGAGAGGACGTGAAAGATGTAGATCAAATATTTTAGGAGCTTGGCAGCAAAACCAGAGAGGAACATTGTTTAGCAAATATAATAGATAGGTGGGAACAAGAGAAAAATGTTATGATAGCTATCCTCCAATATGGCATCCAATGATCTTAGTCTCCTGGTATTCATGCCCCTCTGTAATTCCCTTTCACATGGAATAGTGCTGACTTGTGTAAGCCATAGTAAATTGAAAAAATAATGCTGTATGATTTCTGATTCTAGATCATAAAAGTGTTATAGGTTCTGTCATGCCCTTTCATAGGTTGCTCATGCTGGGGGAAGCTAGCCATCACGTCATGCCGACACTCAAGTAACTCATAAAGAGGAACTTTTCCAACCAGCACCATGGCAGAGAGCTGTCTTATGTGCAGATTTTCCAGACCAAGTCAAGTCTTCTGATGCCTGCAGAAATGGCTGACATCCTGACTGCAACATCTTAAGTGATCCTATGGCAGAACCACCCAGGTAAGCCACAACTGAGTTCCTTTCCCACAGAAACTGTGAATTAATAAGTGTTTATTGTTTTAAGTCACTAAGATCTTAAGTGATCCTAAGGCAGAACCCCCAGGTAAGCCACAACTGAGTTCCTTACCCACAGAAACTGTGAATTAATAAGTGTTTATTGTTTTAAGTCACTAAGATCTTGGGTAATTTGTTATGTGATGTTAGACAACTAATACAGATTTCTTTAGATGTTTTCTTTTATATATGCTTATCTTTTTTTTTAGTTTATGAAAACCTGAATATGTTTTAAGGATTATTGAAATGATTCAAGATGAGAACAATAATAAGATAATTGTAATACTAAACTCTGAGTAGCTGGAAAACTAGGGGAACCAAAATACAGCTGAGGAGAATTATTTTCTTTTTCTTTTTTTTTTTTTTTTTTTTTTGAGTTGGAGTCTTGCTCTGTCGTCCAGGCTGGAGTGCAGTGGCGCAATCTTGGCTCACTGCAAGCTCCGCCTCCCGGGTTGATGCCATTCTCCTGCCTCAGCCTCCCGAGTAGCTGGGACTACAGGTGCCCGCCACAGCACCTGGCTAATTTTTTGTATTTTTAGTAGAGACGGAGTTTCACCGTGGTCTCGATCTCCTGACCTCGTGATCCGCCCGCCTCAGACTCCCAAAGTGCTGGGATGATAGGCGTGAGCCACTGCGCCCGGCCGAGAATTATTTTCAAAAAGCAGAGGTGGGCTATTTTCTGAGAGTAATGGGAAGTCCCAAATGATGTAGATTCCCATTCCATTTTAAGATGAAGACGAGAGTGCCTGAAATAATTCATATAAGATCAGATCAATTTAGTAAATACTCCACATGTACATAACTCTATATTATTATTATTTTTTGAGACGGAGTCTCACTCTGCTGCCCAGGCTGGAGTGCAGTGGCGCGATCTCGGCTCACTGCAAGCTCCGCCTCCCGGGTTCATGCCATTCTCCTGCCTCAGCCTCCTGAGTAGCTGGGACTACAGGCGCCCGCCACCACGCCCGGCTAATTTTTTGTATTTTTAATAGAGACGGACTTTCACCATGTTAGCCAGGATGGTTTTGATCTCCTGACCTCGTGATCCGCCCACCTCGGCCTCCCAAAGTCTGGGATTACAGGCGTGAGCCACCGCGCCAGGCCCATAACCCTACATTTTTATATTCTTACCTAAATAGGCTAGCAGAAGGTCTACTTACCTTTAATAAGACATTTGATGGAGACAAACAGTGAAAATATTAATTTCAATATTTTCAATAATTTCAATATTTCAATATTCCAATATTTTCAATAATTAATTTCATTTCTCAAAAGGACCTGGCACCTGGTAGGAAATGCATTAAATGTGCATGTATTAAATGCACATGTAACACTTTATAATAAAATGAGTACTTTTATTTTTGGTTATCTACATATTTTTCTACAGGAACCTTTAAAAAAACTCATTTATACTTATTATGGTATCAGGGAGCTATCTGCATGAACTCTGTGGTTCCTATTTGTCACTCAGGTCTAATGGATTTTTGGTCTTGTGGCTGTATTCTAAAAGGTTGACTTGGTTGTTATTGTAATAAAGAAGGTTGGATTGCAGTGGATGTGAGATTACATAGATTTGGCATGTAAACTGATTTTGACCATAGATATGTTCAGATTCTGCTATGAGCTCTTTGATACGTATCTCCAGGGAGGGGAATGTTCATTTATTTAATGCATCAGTCAATATTATTAGAACATAATCATTTGTACATTACTGTATTAACACCTCTAAGAGCTATAAAATTTAATTTAAAAAGAGTCTTTCCTCAAGTAGCTTATAGTCAAACATGATTGCTATAGGCAAGGGTGGTCTGAGTGTCAGAGAAAAGATAGCAGAACAAAAGTGTGTTTGTGCCCTGAATGCCTCACATGGTTATTGTGATCTTCTTAGAGTGCTTTTTGGGATGGGATGAAGAAATGGAAGTATGTTAGCATTCTGACATGAATTTACAAGCAGCATTTTAGCATCTAAAATATTGTTACTAGTGACCAAGACAACCTTAATGTTCTCAGATGAGTAGTTATCTATTCACCGTTTTGACTCTTTTTTGTGAAGGAAGTGAGTGCTAGACATCTCCAGTCAGATATCTGGAACTGGCCATCCTGCCAGTTTTACCACCCAGGAAATGCCTTTCTGAAGAATCTAGAAACATCTTTTTGAAGTATTAATGTCAAATAAGACAGCACCTCATCTTCCAGTCTCTGTGGTTCCATACAGGCCTAATTTAGATGGGCACTGATTAGCAAACAAAGGTGGCCTGATCACAGAGAAAAACATTTGTGAATTGTGGAATAACAGGAATAACCCAATGTGCTGGACAAATCTCATTGATCAACCTTCCCCTTAATGTACTTCAGTGCTTTTCCACTAGCTCACCTTAGAAACCTTCCTGCCTTTTGTTTCAGCAGAGTTGATTTCAGTCTCCGTCCCTTATTGCAATAGACTGAGTAAAGTCTTCCTTCATGGTTAACTGTAGAAAAAATTGTTTATATTTGAGGTACACAAAATGTTTGATAAACGTATAGTAAAATTATTACTATAGTCAAGCAAAGTAGCATATCCATCTCCTCACACAGTTGTACTTGTGATATCTCCAAAAATATGGAGATAACCAAAATAAATACAATACATACTTTTTTTTTAAATTTTTGAGACAGTCTTGCTCTGTCATTCAGGCTGGAGTGTAGTGGCTCGATTATGGCTTGCTGCCACCTTGGCCTCCTGGGCTCAAGGAATCCTCCCACCTCAGCCTCCTGAGTAGCTGAGACCACAGGCACATGCCACCACATCTGGCTAATTTTTGTATTTTTTTTTTTTTTTGTAGAGATGGAGTTTCGTCATGTTACCCAGGCTGATCTTGAGCTCCTGAGCTCAAGCAATCAGCCTGCATCAGCCTCCCAAAGTGCTAGGATTACAGGCACAGAGCCACAGGTTGTGGCTCTGTGCCTGTAATCTATAGTCATAGTGTACACTAGATTTATTCATAACTGCAACTTGGTACCCTTTGACCAACATCTTCCCATTCCCTTTGAAGTGATTATCTCCCCTGCAGGAACACCAAACTGAACAACTATCCACACATGGAAGCACCTTCATAAAAATCAAAGTCAGGTGAGCAATTACAGTAGCTGAGTTTAACATCATATCAAGGAAAGAGGCACTGAAGAAGGTAGGAAAGACAGTCTTGAATTGCTAACACCACTCCTTCCCCATCCCCTAGCAGTACTGTGTGGTATGGGGAGAGAGAATCTGTGTGCTTGGGGTAGGAAAGAGAAGTGATTATGGGACTTTTAATTGGAACTCAGTGTTGTCCTGTCACAGCAGAAAAGAACAGATAAAAATTCAGTCAGCACCCACAGAGGAAGCATTTAGACTAGCCCCAGTCAAAGAGGAATTATTTGTCCCAGCAGTTGGAAGCTGGATTCCACCTAGCCCCACCACCATGGGCTACAGTGCTCTGGGATTTTAAATAAACTTGAAAGGCAGTCTAGGCCACAAGGACTGCAATTCCTGGGCAAGTCCTGATGTTGTTCTGGGCTTGAAGCCAGTGAACATGGGATGCATGTGACCCAGTGAGATACCAGCTGGGCTGGCCAAGGTAGTGCTTGTGTCACCCATCCCCCAAACCCAGACAGCACAATTCGCAACTCCAGGAGAGACTCCTTCCACTTGATGAAAAGAGAAGGTAGAGTAAAGAGGACTTTGATGGCCGGGTGCAGTGGCTCACGCCTGTAATCCCAGCACTCTGGGAGGCCAAGGTAGGTGGATCATCTCAGGTCAGGAGTTTATGACCTGCCTGGCCAACATGGTGAAACCCCATCTCTACTGAAAAATACAAAAAAATTGCTGGGCATGGTGGTGGGTGCCTCATCAAATGAACTAAATAAGACACCAGTAACCAATCTTGGAGTGACTGAGATATATGGCATTTCTTACAGAGAATTCAAAATAGCTGTTTTAAGGAATCTAAATAAAATTCAAGATAACACAGAGAGGGAATTCAGAATTTCTATCAGATAAATATATCAAAGAGATTGAAATAATTTTTAAAAATCTAAGCATAAATTTTGGAGTTGAAAAATTCAATTGACAAACTGAAGAATGCATCCGAGTCTCTCAAAAGCAGAATGAAACAAGCAGAAAAAAGAATGAAGAAAGAGCTTTAACACACACATTTGAAAATAAATAGAGAAGATAAAAAAGAATAAAAAGGAATAAAACATGCCTAAAAGATCTAGAAAATAGTCTCAAAAGGGCAAATATAAGAGGCATTGGCCTTAAATAGAAGATAGAGAGAGAGAGAAGTTGGGTTAGAAAGAGATTCAAAGAGATAACAGAGAACTTTCCAAACCTAGGGTGAGGAATCAATATTCAAGTACAGGAAGGTTATAGAACACCAATCAGATTTAACATAAAGAAGATTACCTCAAGACATTTAACAATCAAATCCCAAAGGTCCAGGATAAAGAAAGGATCCTAAAAGCATTAAGAGAAAAAAAATGAAACATAAAGGAGCTCTAATATGTCCGGCAGCAAACTTCTCAGTCAAAACCGTACAGGCCAGGAGACAGTAGCATGACATATATAAAGTGCTGGAAGAAAAAAACTGTTACCCTAGAATAGTATATACAGTGAAAATATTCTTCAGACATGAAGGAAAAAATAAAGACTTTCCCAGACAAACAAAAGCTAAGGGATTTGTCAACACCAGACCTGTCTTATAAGAAATGCTAAAGAGAGTTATTTAATCTGTAAGAAAAGGACATTAATGAGAAACAAGAAATCATCTGAAGGTACAGAACTCACTGGTAATATAAGTACACAGACAAATACAGAATACTACAACACTCTAATTGTTGTGTGTAAACTACTTATATCTCGAGTAGAGGAAGACCAAAAGATAAACCTATCAGGTCAGTGCAAGTGTGCACTTGAATGCTGCTGCATTACCACTGTGAGTGTGGATCCTGCACCACCATGCCATCAAAGTGCTTTGGCCAGCAACCCTCATCAAAATGTTTTTGTCATCAGACTGGCAACACCTTGGCCCCTACAGCAAGTGGGTGCTTAACCTTGAGGGGCCAGAGGACAAAGCCGTGGGCATGATACCAGTCCCTCAGGGTTACAGCACACAGCCCAGGAGAGCTAAGCTGAGCCTTGGCCCACTGAAATCATTCAGAAACAAAGCCAGTCAACTGAATCCAACTTATACCAAATTCAAACCCTCAAGGGCATTGGAGAATATGAAAGCAACACTTCCCAGCAACTTCAAAGACTAAAGGAACATCTGCCCACACAGACGAGAATCAGTCAAGAACTCTAGCAACTAAAAAGGCCAGAGTGTGTTCTCATCTCCAAACAAGTACTCTAGCTTCCCAGCAATGGTTCTTAACCAGGCTGAAATGGCTGAAATGACAGACGTAGAATTCAGAATCTGAATAGGAATGAATACCATCAAGATTCAGGAGAAAGTCAAAACCCAAACCATAGAATCTAAGGAATCCAATAAAATAATACGAGAGCTAAAATATGAAATAGCCATTTTAAGAAAGAACCAAACTGATCTGATAGGGCTGAAAAACTCACAGTAAGAATTTCGTAAAACAATCAGAAATTTTAACAGCAGAATAGACCAAGCTGAAGATAGGATATCAGAGTTCAAAGACCAATTGTGGAAATCAACTCAGTCAGACAAAAATAAATAAAAAATAAAACTTCTGGGACATATGGGATTATGCAAAGAGACCAAACTTAAAACTTATTGGCAGTCCAGAAAGTGAGGGAGAGAAAGCAAGCCATTTGGAAAACATATTTAAGGATATTGTTCACAAAAATTTCCCCAATCTGACTGCAGAGGTTGACACACATATTCAGGAAATTTGGAGAACCCCTGTGAGATACTGTGCAAGATGACCATCTATAACGCACATAGTCATCAGATTCTCCAAGGTCAATGTGAAAGAAAAAATATTAAAGGCATCTAGAGAGAAAGGGTTGGTCACCTACAAAGGGAACCCAATGAAGCTAACAGAGGACCTTTCAGCAGAAACCCTGCAAACCAGAGAGATTGACTGCCTATATTCAGCATTCTTAAAGAAAAGAAATTCCAGCCAAGAATTTAATATCCAGCCAAACTAAGCTTCATAAGTGAATGAGAAATAAGATTCTTTTCAGAAAAGCAAGTGCTAGGTAATTCATTGCCACCAGACCTGCATTACAAGAGTTCCTTAAGAGAGTTCCAACCATGGCAATGTTGTTACTGGCCATGAGAAAAACACACTTAAGCACATTCAGCATTGACACTATTAAAGCAACCACACAATCAAGTCTGCATAACAACCAGCTGACAACACAATTACAGGATTGAATTTGCATATATTAATATTAATCTTGAATGTAAATGAGCTAAATGCCCTACTTAAAAGGCACAGAGTGGCAAGTTGGATAAAGAAGCAAGTCCCAATGATATGCTGTCTTCAAGGGACTCTTCTCACATGCAGTGACACCAATAGGCTCACAGTAAAGAAATGGAGAAAAATGTACAAACAAATGGAAAAGTAAAAAGGGAGAGGTTGCTATTTTAATTTCAAATAAAACAGACATGAATCCCACAGTAATGAAAAAGACAAAGAAGGGCATTACATCATGATAAAAAGCTCAACTCAAGAAGAATTAACTCTTAAATATATACACACCCAATGCTGGAGAACTCAGATTCATAAAATAAGTTCTTAGAGACCTATGAAGAGACTTATAGAAGCAAAAAATGACAGTGGGAAACTTTAATATCCCACTTTCAGTATTAGACAGATCATCAAAGCAGATAAGTAACGCAGCTATTTGAGACCTAAACTCAACACTTGACCAAATGGCTCTAACAGACATCTACAGAACATTCCTTCAAAAACAACAGAATATACATTATTTCCATCTGCTCATGGCACTTACTCCAAAATAGATCACATGATTGGCAATAGAACAATTCTCAACAAATTAAAAAAAACAAAATCATACCACCACACTCACTGATCACAGTGCAATAAAAATAGAAATCAATACTAAGAAGATACCTCAAAACCACACAATTACATGCAAGTTAAACAACTAGCTCCTGAATGACTTTTGGGTAAGCAATGAAATTAAGGCAGAAACTAGGAAATTCTTTGAAACTAATGAAAACAAAGATAAAACATATCAGAATCTCTGGGTCACAGCTAAAGCAGTGTTAAGAGGAAAGTTTTTTATCACTAAATGCTCACATCAAAAAGTTAGACAGATCTTCAATTAGCAAAATAACATAAAACATTCAGGAACTAGAGAAACAGAAGCAAACCAACACCAAAGTTAACAGGAGAAAAAAATAATCAAAATCAGAGCTGAACTGAATGAAATTGAGATGCAAAAACTGTACGAAAGACAAGCAAACCAGAAGTTTGTTTTTTGAAAGCATAAATAAGATTGATAGACCACTAGCTAGACTAATAAAGAAAAAAGAGAGAGGAGATACAAAATAACAAAATCAGAAATAACAAAGGGACGATTACCACTGACCTCACAGAAATACAAAAAAAAATCATAGACTATATGAATACCTCTATGCACACATACTAGAAAACCTAAAAGAAATTGATAAATTTCTGGAAACATATAAATTCCCAAAATTGAAGCAAGAAGAAATTCAGACCCTGAATGGACCAATAATGAGTTCTGAAATTGCATTAGTTATAAAAAGCCTACCAACCAGAAAAAGTCCTGGATGAGATAGATTTGCACCTAATTTACCAGATGTATAAAGAAGAGCTGATACTAATCCTATCGAAACTTTTCAAAAATAATTGAGGATGAGGGACTCCTTTCTAACTCCTTCAATGAAGCCAGCATCATTCCTATACCAAAATGTGGCAGAGACACATGAAACAGAAAACATCAGGCCAATATCCTTGAGGAAAATAGATGCAAAAATCTTCAAGAAAATATTAGCCAACCAAATCCAGTAGAATATCAAGAAGCTAATCCACCACAATAAAGTAGGCTTTATCCTTGGGGTGCAAGGTTGGTTCAACATACGCAAATCAATAAATGTGATTCATCACATAAACAGAACTAAAAACAGAAACCATGTGATCATCTCAATTGATGCAGAAAGCAAAAGCTGGCAGCTTTCCCCTTGAGAATGAGAACAAGAAAAGGATGTGCACTCTCACTACTCCTAGTCAACACGGTACCTCAAGTCCCAGCCAGAGCAATTAGGCAAGAGAAAGAAATAAAAAGCATCCAAATAGGAAAAGAGGAAGTCACACTATCCCCGTTTGCAGACAACATGATTCTTTACATAGAAAATCCCATAGTCTGCCCCAAATCTCCTTGATCTAATAAACAACTTCAGCAAAATTTCAGGGTATAAAATCAATGTATAAACATGAGTAGCATTTCTATATAGAGTGTCCAAACTGAGAGCCAAATCAAGACTGCAATGCCATTTATAATAGCCACACACAAAAAGTAAAATACCTAGGAATAAAGCTAACCAGGGAGGTGAAATATCTCTACAAGGAGAATTACAAAACAATGCTGACAATCAGAAATGACACAAAGATTGAAAGAGTCCATATCATTAAAATGGCCATACTGCCAAAAGCTATTCTTATCAAACTACCAATGATATTCTTCTTAGAATTAGAAAAAGCTATTCTAAAATTCATGTGAAACTAAAAACACATGAATAGCCAAAGCAATCCTAAGCAAAAAGAGCAAAGCTGGAACCATCACACTGCCTAACTTCAAACTACAAATACAAAGCTACATTAACCAAAACAGCATGGTACTGGTACAGAAACAGGCATATTGACCAATAGAACCAGTTAAAGAACCCAGAAATAAAGCTAGACACCTACAAATATGTGATCTTCAACAAAGTCTACTAAAATAAGCAATGACAAAAGGATACTCTATTTAATAAGTGGTGCTTGGACAGCTGGCTAGCCATATGCAGAAGATTAAAACTGGAACTCTCCCTTTCACTATACACAAAAATCAACTCAAGATGGATTAAAGATTTAAGTGCAAAACCCAAAACTATAAAAGCCCTAGAAGAAAACCTAGAAAGTACCATTCTGGACATAGGCCTTGGCAAAGATTTTTTGAAGAAGATTCCAAATGCAATTGCAAAAAAAAAAAAAAAAAAAATTGACAAATGGGACTTAATTGAACTAAAGAGATTCTGCACAGCAAAAGAAACTATCAACACAGTAAATAGACATCCTAGTAAATGGGATAAAATATTCACAAATAAATACATAGGAATTAACCAAAGAAGTGAAAGATCTCTACAATGAGGACTATGAAACACTGATGAAGGAAACTGAAGAGTACACACCATAAAATGGAAAGACATTCCTCGTACAAGGATTGGAAGAATCAATATTGTTAAAATGTTCATACTACTCAAAGTAATCTACAGATTTAATGCAATCTCTATCAAAATACCAATGACATTCTTTCCAGAAATAGAAAAATCAATCCTAAAACTTATATAAAACCACAAAAGACCCAGAATAGTTAAAGCCATCTTGAGCAAAAAGAACAAAATTGGAGGAATTACTTTACTTGATTTCTAATTATACTACAAAGCTATAGTAACCAAAACATCATGGTACTGGAATAAAAACAGACACCTAGACCAAAAGAAGAGAACAGAGAACCCAGAGAAATCCATACACATCTATGGTGAACTCATTTTCAGCAAAGGTGCCAAGAACATACATTGGGAAAAAGACAGTCTCTTCAATAAATGATGCTGGGAATACTGGATATTCCTATGTAGAATAATGAAACTAGACCCCTATTTCTCACCATATTCAAACACCAAATCAAAATGGAGTAAAGACTTAAATCTAACACCTGAAACCATGAAACTATTAAAAAATACATTGGATAAACTCTCAAGGATGTTGGTCTGGGCAAAAATTACTTGAATAATACTTTACAAGCATAGGCAACCAAGCTAAATGGACAAATGGGATCACATCAAGTTAAAAAGCTTCTGCACAGTAAAGGAAATGGCCAACAAAGTGAAGAGACACCATACAGATTGGGTGAAAATATTTGCAAACTATTCATCTGACAAGGGATTAATACCCATATATATAAGGATCTCAAACAAGTTAATAGAAAAACGTCTAATATTCTGATTAAAAATGGGCAAAAGATCTGAATAGACGTTTCTCAAGAGACATATAAATGGTAAACAGTCCTATTAAAATGTGTTCAACATCACTGATCATCAGAGAAATGCAAATCAAAACTACAATGAGATACTATGTCACCCCAGTAAAAAGGACTTTTATCCAAAAGACAGGTAACAATGATTGCTGGTAAGAATGCAGAGGAAAGGAAACCCTTGTACAATGTTGGTGGGAATGTAAATTAAAAATAGCCACTATGGAGAACAGTTTGCAGATTCCTCAAAAAATTAAAATTAGAGCTCCATGTAATCAAGCAATCTCTCTGCCAGGTATATACCCAAAAGAGAGAAATCAGTATATTGAGTTGATACCTGCACTCCTATGTTTATTGCAACACTATTCACAATAGTCATATACAAAATGGAGTACTATTTAGCTATACAAAAGAATGAAATCCTGTCATGTGCAACCACGTGGATGGAACTGGAAGACATTAGGTTAAGTGAAATAAGTCAGGCACAGAAAGACAAATTTTGCATGTTCTCCCTTATTTGTGGGAGCTAAAAATTAAAGCAATTGACTTCATGGTTATGGAGATTAGAATGATGGTTACCAGGGGCTGGCATGAGTACTGGTGGGGCTGAGAGGAGTGGGAATGGTTAATGGGTACAAAAATGTAATTAAATAGAATGAATAAGATCTAGTATTTGATAGCACAACAAGGTGACTACAGTCAATGATTATTTATAGCACATTTAAAAATAAGTAAAAGAGTATAATTGGATTTTTTTTTTTTGAGATGGAGTTTCACTCTTGTTGCCCAGGCTGGAATGCAATGGCCTGATCACCACAGCCTCTGCCTCCTGGGTTCAAGTGATTCTCCTGCCTCAGCCTCCCGAGTAGCTGGGATTGCAGGCATGCACCACCATGCCTGGCTAATTTTGTATTTTTAGTAGGGACGGGGTTTCTCCATGTTGGTCAGACTGGTCTCAAACTCCCGACCTTAGGCGATCCACCCAACTTGGCCTCCCAAAGTGCTGGGATTACAGGTGTGAGCCACCGCGCCTAGCCAGTTGGAATGTTCTTAACACAAATGATAAATGCTTGAGGTGATGGATACCCGATTTACCCTGACGTGATTATTACTGATTGTATACCTTTATCAAAATATCTCATGTACTCCATAAATATATACACCTACTATGTGCTCATAAAGGCTAAAATTTAAAAAAAATTAAAATTAAAAATTGTGCAAGGTGAAGCAACACGTGCTGATGTAGAATATGCAGCAAGTTATCCAGAAGATCCAGCTAAGATCATTGATGAAAGTGGTTACACTGAACAATAGATTTTCCATAGGAGAAAAATAGCCTTATATTGGAAGAAGATACCATCTAGGACTATCATAGAGAAGTCAATTCAATGCCTGGATTCAAAGTCTTAAAGGACATGCTGTCTTTTGTTAGTGACTAATGCAGCTGCTGACAAAGTCAAAGCTAAATACTCTTTTATCATTTCTAAAATCCTAGAGACCCATAAGATAATAATAAATCTACTCTGCCTGTGATCTGGAAATTGACAAGTGTAAATGACAGCACAACTCTTTACAGAATGGTTTCCTTGATATTCTAAGCCCACTATTGAGACTTTGCTCAGAAAAAGATTTCTAGTCACCCACGAGCTCTAATGGAGATGTTCAAGGAGATTAATGTAATTTTCATGCTTACTAACACAGCATCCATTCTGCAGCCCATGGATGAAGGAATCCTTTCAGCTTTCTAGTCTTAATTTGAGATATAGCTACCATAGAAAGTGTTTTTTTCTGAGGGATCTGAATAAAGTAAATTGAAAATTTTCTGGAAAGGATTCATTATTCTAGCTGCCATTAAGAACATTCATGATTCTTGGGAGGAGGTCAAAATATCAACATTAGCAGGAGTTTGGAAGAAGTTGAATCCAGCCCTTATGGATGATGTGGAAGGGTTCGAGACTTCCATGGAGGAAATAACTGCAGATGTGCTAGAAATAGTTAACAAAACTAGAAATGGAAGTGGAGCCTGAAGATGTGACATAACTGCTGCAGTCACATGATAAAACATGAATGGATGAGGAGTTTTCTTCTTATGGATGAGCAGTGTTTTTTTGAGATAGAATCTACTCCTGCTGAAGATGCTGTGAACATTGCTGAAATGATGATGAATGTAGAATATTACATAAACTTAGTTGATAAATGAGCATCAGGGTTTGAGACGATTGGCTCTAGTTTTCAAAGTTCTATAGCGGGTAAAACGCTGTCAAACAGCAGCACAACAGAAATCTGTTTTGAAGGAAGAATCTGTCAATGTGGCCAGATTAATTGTTGTATTATTTTCAGAAATTACCATAGCTACCCCTACCTTCAGCGACTACCACCCTGATCAGTCAGCAGCCATCAGCACTGAGGTCAGACCCTCCACTAGCAAAAAGATTACAACTCGCTGAAGGCTCAGATGGGTATTAGTATTTTTTATCAATAAAGTATTTTTAATTAAAAATATGAATGAATGCCATTTAATAATTAAGTTAAACGGAGGTACTTGGTCCATAGAGAAGAAAATGTAAGCCTATGGAACAAGACCAAAATCATCAATGTTTTGAGTTTCTTTCTCATCCCCACCTTTACCTTTAAAAGTTGGTTCTGACTGTCCATGGAATTTCTTTTCCTCTTCCACTCCTGAAGGATATTTGAGTGTTTCCAGAGTAGACTTTGGGAGCTTTTGTGATGTAGAGCCTAAGAGAAAAGGAAGGAGTCATAAGGTCAAAGGATGGGGTAAGGCTGGGGAGGAATTTGGGGTGGAGTTTGGGAAGAAGAAATAAAAATAGTTTTGCATGTAAGGTGATTGGATA
This sequence comes from Homo sapiens, assembly GCF_000001405.40. NCBI lineage: Eukaryota > Metazoa > Chordata > Mammalia > Primates > Hominidae > Homo > Homo sapiens. The sequence goes on along the minus strand of NC_000007.14, from coordinate 89,869,230 downwards.
GATTTCATAGAAATATGAAGAAGTATTTTTCTCTGTGCAATATTAAAATGTTATGATCATGACTTTTTATACAGTTTTCCCCCAAGCTTTGCATTTTTCCTCTGCTTTTTCATTGAGGGGTCAAATGATTTTTTTATCTTTTTATTAAGAAGTTCCAAACCTTTAATAAACTCAATTCAGAAACTGAAATTTAGCTTCCTCCTCCAGGCACACCTCATAGAGACCTCTGAATTCATTTTCCAATATTTTATTCTTAATGAAAGAAGTCTTTTGAATTTATAGAGGTGTAGATTTTTCATCAGATGTCATTCTTATGAATGCATAAAATATGAAATTATAAGTATAATAAACTAGTTAATGCAGTATTCTTTTGTTGGTCTTAGGGCCTCTGTATATTTCTGAAGATTCTGAGGATCCCAAAGAACTTTTGTTTATGTGGATCATAGCTATCATTTATTGTATTAAAAATTACAACTTGAAAAATTTAAAAATATGTAATAATTCATTTTAAAATTACAATACTAAAACCATAATTTGTCAACATAACAATTGTTAGGAAAACTTAACTATATTTTCCAAAATAAATACAGTTATTAGAGTGGGATTGTTTTGCGTTTGTGTAAATTTCTTAAATGTCTGTCTTAAGAGAAGACAGCTGCATTCTTATGTCTGCTTCTGTATCAATCTGCTCCCATATATTGTTTTGGTAAAAGTATATAGAGTCTCACTCTGTCACCCAGGCTGGAGTGCAATGCCTTGATCTCGGCTCACTGCAACCTCCATCTCCCAGGTTCAAGCGATTCTCCTGCCTCAGCCTCCCAAGTAGCTGGGGTTACAGGTGCCCATCACCATGCCTGGCTAATTTTTGTATTTTTAATAGAGACGGGGTTTCACCAGGTTGGCCAGGCTGGTCTTGAACTCCTGACCTCAGGTGATCCACCTGCCTTGGCCTCCCAAAGTGCTGGGATTATAGGCGTGAGCCACCGTGCCCAACCCTTTCTGTCTCTTTTATATTCTGGTGGCTGCCAGTATTTCTTGAATCGTGACTGTCACTCCAATCTCTGCCTCTGTGGTCACGTTGCCTTCTCCTCTTCTGTCTATATAGTCCACCTCTGGCTCATTTTTATGAGGATACTAGTCATTGGATTTAGGTCCCATCCAGATAATCCAGGATATGCCTCTTGTCTCAAAATATGTAACTTAATCACATATTTTACATGTAATTTACTTGTTTATCCTATAAGGTTAATAATTACAGGTTCTGAGAATTAAGACATGGAAATATCTTTTTCAGGGCCACCATTCAGCTCACTTCACATATCAATGGCCTTGTCCTATAGTGTTACATTAAAATTTATTAGTTTATCTTGTACTCTGAATGGTCTTTTACCATGCATGATTTTATAACATCATGCGTTAGGTATTTGGAAAATACTGATTCACTGAGTTTGGGGAACTTTCAAATATTAACACGTTTATTATGTAGTGTCAAAACCTCAACTGATATCCCCACAAAACATATTCTTTGAAGATTGGAAAATGCATGGTGGCAGATGCCAGTTTTCCAAAATTCTAATTTTCACTTGGAAACTTAAATTTTATCATTGTTGACAAATGTAGCCAGTTCTTTACCTTGAAACAGCAGGCTGACTTTGTTTATGGTTAAGAAATTTTCTAAAAGGTAGCCCAAATTTGAATACTCATCATTTTCTTGTCTGCCACTCTTTCAACTAAAAATAGCATTCTGTGAAAAAGTAGCTAGTTCAGCTCACCAGTCAAACAACTGCCTAAGTGCTTTTCCTAGAGGCAACTATTATACTTCGGTATGCAGCCAGGTACTCTATGTATAATTCCTCCTTTGTCACACAGATTTAAAACATGGGTACTCAAAGGGTTGAGATGTAATAATATCAATAATTTCTACTTCACCTAAGATATTTTTAAGAGAAATTGGCTTTCCCCATTATTTTTTAGTACTCTGAGTGTGTGGTGGTGAAAAATATGTCCACTGGCACAGTTTCATGAATACCACTTAATTCATGAAAAGTTGTCAATAATTTTACCTATGATTGTTCTTGAACCATTAAGGCAAATTTCAACATAATGAAAGATGACAAATAACACATTAAAAATTATGCAAAATGGCTGGGCATGGTGGCTCATGCCTGTAACCCCAGCTACTCAAGAGGCTGAGGCAGGAGGATCACTTGAGGCCAGGAGTTCAAGGCTGCAGTGACCTATGATTGCACTGCTGCCTTCCGGCCTGTGTGACAAAGCAAAACCCTGTCTCAAGAATAATAATAATACTGAAAATCACCTCAACCCTGCAGATCCCTAAAAGGCTTCAGAGACCCCTTGAAAACATCTGTGTTGAAAGTTTTCCAAATTTCTTTGCATTTAGAGTCTGGCTCTTAGAGTTTTTGATGTTTGTCGTTTTCCATATAGCATGATGTTCTTTATTATCAATAGTGTTAATGATACAGCATTTCTTTATAGGATGCTCTACGGTAGTCTCAGATTTTTTTCATGTCTGTGATACCCATACAGTGTGTTTTGACATTGACTTTTCCATGATGTTTTTCTAGAAAGTGTCGAAAGAAGGATTTCAGACAATAAGCAGGAAACTGAGCTTATGCGTGTGCAGGCAAAGATTAACATCTATATGATATTGAATTGTGTATGCAAAAATATGGCATATCTTTTCCTTTTGTTGTAGGTACTTTTGTGCCTTTCAGGAGCTTTTTATAGCTTTCTCCATATAGGTTTTAAACACATCTAGGCTTGCATATAAATATTTATGAACATAACAAGGACTTCTCTTTCAGTATATCCTCTAATTGGGTTTGTGTTGTGTTTATATACCATATTAACTTATAGGAAGCTTTAATATTATATGTTAATATTTTGCAAATTAATAAATAAATCTAATATAATCTCAGTGTAATTATCATTAAGATTCCACACCCCCCCACCCCGGACATAAACACATAGATTAGCCATTTCATTTGGAAAAACAAGCAAGAATAGCCCTGAATGTCCTGATAGAGTAGTGGCATATGGGGTGAACTGGTTCTATCTGATATTAAAACATATAGTGATTGAAATATCATAGTGTTGAAAACCAAATAGACATTTAACTAAAGAGAAGAAAGGGAAAATATCTGGAAATAGATTAAAATCCCTGTGAAAATTTACTATATTATGAAGTCAGCATATCAAATTGGTGAAGAAAAGATGGACTTTTCAATATGTGACGTTGGCAAAGGGTACAAAGTTTCAGTTATGCAAAATACACAAGTTCTGGAGATGTACCATATAGCATAGTGCCTATAGCTCACCTTACTGTATTATGTATTTAAAATTTGCAAAAATTGTAGATATTATGTTGTGTTCCTACCACACACACAGAATTATAACAATAACAATAAAGTGGGGTGGGAGAAAACTTTGGGAAGTGCAGTGATGGATATATTTATGACCTTGATGGTGTGATAATTTCGTGGATGTATACTTGTTCCCAAACTCTATGTGTACAGTTTTTCCACGTCAATCATATCAAAATAACTGATGTTGGGATAACTGGTTAGACATATAGAAAAATATAAAATTACATTCATTTTCACACCATACTTCAAGAAAAAATAAAAATGAATTAGAAATGTAAATTTTAAAAATAAGATGTACAAGTACTAGGAGGAAAGCTGAGTGAGGTCCTTTGTAATCTGGGAGTAGAGAAAACTTTCTTAACTCTGATTAAAAAACAAAAACAGTAAAGAAAAGACTGACCCTTTGGAACACTAAAAAATTGAATGGCAAAATAACCATAAACAAAGTCAAAGATAAATGATAAACTAGAAAAAATATTTGCAATTCATTTAGGAAATAAAGAGTTAATATGATACAGACCTTCTAAAATAGACAGGAATTATAACTGTGGAGAAAAATGAGCAGTTCTTGGAGAAAGAGAAATAAATGACCCTTAAACATATGAAATGTTTCTCAATTTTTTTCCCAAGAAGTAAAATGCGAATTGAAACTACAGTGAAATTCCATTTCTATTATATTGGCAAAAGTTTGTATTTGACAACATACTCTTTGGTCAAGCCTGTGGGGAAACAAGTATGTTTCTAGAGGGAATATAAAATGGTAAACTGTTATGAATAGAAGCTTTACAATTTGTAGTAAAACTATGAATGCTTTTACTTTTTGACCCAGCAATCTCTCTGATTGGAATTTATCTCAAAGATACTCTAGTAAAAACACAAAAAGACGTTTGCATGGAACTATTCATTGCAGGGATATTTATTTATCCATGACCTTTCATGGATGTTTGGGTTTGGGACTATGTAAAAGATGATTATATCCACACAATGAAGTTTTATTCAATTCTAAAAGAATGAGGAAATTCTCTATGTACTGCTATGGAATAAAATAATAAGGTGGCGAGAATGTGTATAACGTATTATTGTTTTCCTGTATAATTATATATATATTATATTTGCTTATATATATTTGCCTAAATTTAAAAAATGAATAAATAAGAACTTTTTAAAAGAAAAAGAATATATGGAGGGCTCATAAATAGAAACCAAACTATACTAAATATGCCACATTTTGTGCGTTTGACTTTGAAACCACGTAAATGTGTTTTTATGTAATTTCTGAAAATTAGTAGAAGAAGCACAAAAGGGCCAGGCATGGTGGCTCACACCTGTAATCGCAGCACATTGGGAGGCTGAGGCAGGTGGATCATTTGAGGTCAGGAGGTCAAAACCAGCCTGACCAACATGGCGAAACCTCGTCTCTCCTAAATACAAAAAAAGTTAACTGGGTGTGGTGGTGCATGCCTATAATCCCAGCTACTTGGGAGGCTAAGGCATGAAAATTGCTCAAAACCTGGGAGGCAGAGGTTGCAGTGAGCCAAGATTGCACCACTGCACTCCAGCCTGGGCAACAGAGTCAAATTCTGTCTCAAAAAATAGAAACTAAAATTAAAAAAGAGAGAAGCACAAAAGCAGGAGCTAAAATAAAAAAAATGAGCTAACGAATCTGACTTTGGTTCAATATGGTGATATAAACCATACAAAGGAGAATTATTTTAAGTGATCCTAAATTCTAGTAAATTTACCATAGATCACTAGTGTGACATACTCTAAGGATTATATGATATACTTAAAATTTTTAAATATTGTTTTCAATAATTATATTCATTACAATATTGGTGAAGTGGCTATATTGTCTGGGGTATATACCTGGGGTTCATTGTCTTGTGCCAGGAAATTTAGGATACAGACACACACGAGGAGTTTAGGGGCAGAGGTTTAATAGGCAGAAGAAATGAGAAAGAAAAACAGCTCTCTCTATTGAGAGACGGGGTCTTCCGAGTGGAAGAGACCAGCTGGTGGTGGATGCACTGGAATTTATAGTCCAGCTTGAGGAGGCAGTGTTTGATTTATGTAGGGCTCACAGATTGGTTTGATTCAGTATGATGTTTACATAGCACGTGGGGAAGGCTGGTTGCCCCACCCTAATCTTATTATGCAAGTGAACTTTTCAGTTGATTGGTGCCATCTTGTCTGCTCCTTACTGCACATGTGGCTGACAAAAAGAAGGAAAGTTGGAGCCACCATCTTGAACATGATTGGCACAACTACCGGCATCTATGTCTGCAGCTCAATTTTACAGGCTGCTCTTTGTTAGAAAGGAAACTAATTGCTGCTTTTCATTAAAAGGAAAACCTTACTGGGGACTTCATGGCCTCACTATCTGCCTAAGCAATTTCTTCTTAACTCCTGTGTTATTTTCCCCTGTGGAGTGGTAACCCTAACTGCTTTTAGGGGGTGTTGGATGATGACCCTTTCTGGCTGCTTTCTCCTGAATAGGGACGTTGTGTGGGAACAGTAGCTAGGGCTCCTCCTGGGGTAAATCTAAGGTCCTTGGAAGAAAGACATGTCCATGTGTGGTCCTGTCTGCAACACCATTTGGAGTTTGATTGTGTCAGCCATTCCAATGGGTTGTAAAACTGCTTTGCCTCCAACAGATGTTGTTGAAATGTTAATATAGAAGTAACATTCCTTTTAGGATAAGTGGCATTGGAATTGGGTAGCTAGAGTAACTTTAGTTAACCTTGGCTAACTTTAAACCTTGGCTAAATCTTTCCCGCAAATATTAATCCCTTCATGATTTCCACAGACCATCTAAGACATGCTTAGACCTTCTGACTTGTCCTAAACATTCCTCTTTTAAAGAACCAGCTATTTTCTTTAGGACAAGTATTTACCATACAAGATCATTTCTTATATAAAATCTCTTTTCTTTATAGCCTTCTTTGCATAGCTAGGGTGTGACATATTACCAAACCCAATAAAAAGTTCTAGCAGATTCAGTGCTAGTAAAACTTTCATGCTTCCTTTTTGTTGGTAACTATTATCCTTGCTACAAGGATAATAATTAAGTAAAATATTACAGCAGTGGAAACTCTCTGTCCAATATTTCAGCTAGAAGGTGCTATCGTGTATAACTCTATTGGAAATAGTAGAGTGAGTATAGCAATTCCTGCAAAGGTGACATAGTAGATTTTTTCCATATAAAATTTGACTTGCCAAGATATAGATTTTCCCTCTGTGGGTCTATGAAGTTCCTTGGTTTTAATATCTCAAGCAAAAAACCTCTGGGTTATGGACACCCTACTCACTTTCATTACCTAGCCGAATTTGTGGGTTTATTGCCCAGAACTAGCATATTGATCCAGATTTTTACATTACCCATCCCTTTTTGGTTCTTCCAAGCTGCAGGAGATCACCACTTGATTTACAGAAATGAGCAGAGTTAGTCTAAAAGGTAGGCAAAAAGCTTAAAAACAATTAATGAGACTAGGCTTTAATGACAAATACATGATAAGCTTTGGTGCATAATTTCTCTTTCCAGTGTCATTTTTGGTAAAAACAAATTATGATAGGACTGTGTTGTTTGTAGAATAAACTTTAGTCTTATACTTGTCCTGATTACTTGCATAACGTGCAGCAAGAATGGTTGTTTCTACATAGGCCTTTTGGATTGGCTTTGATGGAACTCTGTTCCACAAGGAATCTCAGATAAGACTCTTTAAAGCCAAGCCCAGCCATGGGTTTGTATCCTCAAATACCTGTGAGTTGGGTGATCCTCTCCTCTTAAGGTCTCAAGATAAACTTGGAGCTCCTGGACCTGTAAGAAAGTAACATAATTTACTGACCACAAGTCAGGAACCCTGTATGGGGACTGTATAGGCAGGTGTATGAGACCAGTTCTCCCCATGGGGCTTTTATTGGCTCTGCAAGTTGAGATTCACTCCTTAAAGGGAAGCATACCCTTCCAGTAAAAGCCTTGATAAAACAACTAGTTTTTCCAATTGTGTCCTGTTGCAAAAGAAAAATGGATTCTTATTCATTGATGCAAACAACTATATTGTCATAAGTTAAGAGTACTCACAGATAGTTTACAAATTCTAGAGGAACCACACAGAGAGAAACAAACATGCTCCAAATTTTGTTCACAGGAGTATACCTTACTTAATTGTTAAAGGCTGTAAATAGTTCAAAATAAGTTTCATTGACTCTGAAAAATAAAACATAAATTAGCAATATTCCAGCCAAAAATCAAAAAGATTTGCTTCAGTTTCCTGAGTTCATTCCACTTAAGTTAACTCTTGCTTGATATTCATGAACATTTTAGCTCTTCATGGGTCCTGTACGTTTTTTCTCTATTCCAATGTTACAGTTTTCAATGCTGTTAGAAAACTGCATTTGAGAACACCTGTTAAAGTCCTATAGCTTGATTACAAACCATCTTTTGAGAAGGAACAAAGCAAGACAACAATTGTCTGCAAATGACAAAATATCCAGGGTAGTTACAGTTAAAAACATTACTGACAAAGGAGTTTAGTTATCTCTGTGGTTTACAATAACTTTAACCTTAATTATGATTGATAGCATATAGTTAGACATTAGAATTTTAGAAATCCCATACAATTTTGGAACATATATTAGTATTATTCACTAAAATATAACCTAAAGAAGATTGAACATCATTTTGGCAATCCCATGTAACTAAACATATTCAAATGATCCTGTTTACCTCTTCTCTGGATGTTTCAGGGGCCCTCTGAACCATCCAGAAAGCCAGGCATCAGGAAAGACAATTTTGAAACTTGAAGTTAGATTTTGGGGAGACTGTTAAATGTTAGAGTGTTAAAACACTTGATGTTATAAAATAGAATTCCAGATTGCCATAAATTATTTATTTTGCCAAAATGATGACTCAAAAGGCAAAAACCTTTCATTAGCCTTTACTATTACATGAAAATCCTGTTGAAAGCCAAATTTTACCCTTGCATTAGTTTATTAATGTTAACCTCAGTTTGTTTTTAAAAAACCTTATAGATGATTCCATCTAATTTTAACCAATTTGATCATGAGTTGAACTCTTTACAAACCTTTTATAATCCCTTTTGCTAAAGGGCCGATTAGCATTTTAAGACAAGCTTTCTATGCTTTTATTTCAACACTGAATTTGTGAAAAGACTATATATACTATAATACAATATATACTATATATAATATAATACTATATAATACACTATAAAATACTATATAATACACAGATCCCAAAATTAAGTGTGCCTTTTTATACTAGATTTTAGATCCCCAAAAGGAGGGAGATACTATGGGAGAAGACAGTGCAGTGCTTCTTCCATGCATTTCATTGCAAGGCAACTCAAAGCCAATCAGCTTATTTTGTAAACACCCCATCCCCCATGGTAGTCTCATCTCAGTGGGGGATGAGGATGTTTCCATATCTTTCAGGTGGTCAAGAGCACGATTCTCTGATACAAATGTGCAGAATTAAATATCCCTCCATAACTATTATTAGGCATCCCTTAAAGTATCTTTCCTTCTTAGCTATTATACAACAAAACTCTCTAATGTGAGGTAATTTCTGATGCCCCAAAACTTAAAAATGTCAGATAACACAATGCAAAACAGAACAGAGCCTTTGACTTTGAGAGGGAACTATCTGCTCTTAATTACTGGGTTTCATGAGGAAAACAGAGGGTTTTTTTCCCCCCAAAATGGCATCTGTGGCATTTCCTCTGTTTTCCTCAAGGAGTCCTAGGCTATCAGACTTTAGCTTAGAGCCTCTCATGTGTGCATTAAGAGTGGCAAGACAGAAAAAAAAATGGGAATAAGTAATTTAGTCAACTGAGAAGAACCCCCCCCACCCTTTTTTTTTTTCCAGAAAAACAAGATCCAAGAAGAAAAATACATAAAGGTCTTTTAAATCTACCTATAACTAGAATTTCCACTTTTAATTAAGCTGAGCACTCTTTAAGAAAATCTTTTTAAATCCTTTCAAAGGACATTAGCCATGTCAAGCAGTTAAGATTTTCGGCTCTTGAACTTTACAAAGAGTAACCTCACAGATGAAACAAACAAGGCTTAATTAGGTTATGACTTAACCTTGAGTGTACAAGATATTTTTAAAGGGGTGGCAAGCAGCTTTTGAAACCATCATTGCAAAGTGGTGACAGAGACAGTGAAAAAGATCTCATCCAACTTCATTTTGTTTTCAGCCCCCAAGCTGTCCTTGCCCATCCCTGGGTGTAGGCCAAACCAACTTTGGGAGGAGCCTGGTCTACAGACTATAGCCCAAAACAAAGATAATAACAGCCCCTTCCCAAGATATATTTCCCTCTAGCCTGCGGATCAGACCAAGAAACTAGCCACAAGATTAGAAACCATGGCTCAGGAGTCACACAGCTGGAGATTACAAGATTCTGATCCATTCAAGATCAGTGCTTAAGATATTCTGTAAACCCTGCCCTTGATGTATTAGCTAGCCCTACCCAGATTGATAAACTGGCTTTTCTGAATTTGTGGCCCTCACCCAGGAACTGACTTAGCACAAGAAGACAGAGACTAAAAAAAAGTATTGCCATGTGGTTATAGGACATGTTCCCAAGGACATGAAACAAGATGGAGGTAAAGTTTATTATGGACCATTTTGTTGAGCTGGCTTGAACAGCAGGCTTATGGCATCCTGGGCCTGTATCCTAACCTAAGGTACTCTTTCTTTTGACAGAACTATACAGAAAGACACACAAAGTACACCAGATTGGCTACAGTGTAATACCAACCTCACAAATCCTCTTTCATTGATTAAAACTTTACAGAGAATATAAACATTGCTCCTTACTATTTCGTTTACTGATTTTCACAGGGAGAGAGAAGCCAAAAGCCTGACTGGTAAAAAAGTGCTTTTACCTTTTTGCTAGCATGTCAGGCTTCTGGGTTCCCTTTTCCCAAGCTGAACTCTAAGCCAAGCCTTTTAAGATTTGGGGAAATTAACTTTTCCCGGTTTGGAGGAACATTATAAAAGAATAGATAGAAGCCATTTTAAATCATGAAAGAAGGAAAAACACCATAGAAAAGTCTAGATTTTCCAATTAGGGTTGTCAAGAAATACTGCTTTCCTTCTATTGGCAAAGTTGTTACCACTATTTTTCACCTTCTCCGTTTTCTGTTTTCCCTTTTTACCTATCACAGGAGACACATTACTCATACCCAAAATTATCTGCTGCCTGCAGAACTGGCTGTTTTTCAGCTGCAGTTAGGGTTTGGTTTAGAAGCAGCATAACATCCCTTCATGAAAGGTCAAACACTTGAGTTAAATTTTGGAAAACTGTATATCTATCAGGGTCGTTAGAAAATTGGCCTAAGTCTCCCTTTATTTCCCTAAGGTCCTGTAATGAGAAGGGAACTTGAGGGGGACCCAACTAAGGGGAATCCTCAGATTCTTCCCCTGAAGTTGCTTCTCTAACTTAGGAGAATCATTCTCCATAGGCCTGCCTGATATGACTACTAAAAGAGCTGGGTTGATTTTGTAATGCCTGCAAAGGTCTAGTAAGAAGGTCATGCCCCTGTGCAAAAGAAAATGAGCCACTTTTTCTTTAAAGTCTCAGGGTGAAATGAGTCTTTGTGTTTCAGAATGGACTCCAGGCGAGTGCAGGCTGATGATGGTACCTTTCTAGAATGAGAAGTGAGAAAAAGGCATGCCTTTAGTCTCCTTCCTTTTGGTGTGACCCAGGGTGGAGAGGAAGACAGTGGGGGGTGTCCTTTCTGCTTTTTTTCCCTCTTGGTTCCTGGATCCTGGCACCTTGTTGAACGTGCTACTCATGGTTGCAGGTGTGAACCCCAGCCATGGAACCAGAGGAACTAAGAGATTGGGATTAGTCACACTCACCCATGCAGCTCTAGTCCTCTGCCTGTGATTTCCCTTTGATGTCCTGGCCTTGTGTGACCTGCCTGGCTCCCTGCAGATCTCAGGAGAGACTATGTGACAGTTGCATTTCCCTCCTTAATGGAGAAAGTGTGCTAGTTTGAGCTCTGTATCTTGCTGTTATGGTCTGTGCTAAAGCATGTACCCTTAGAGAATGGTTACATTTAACTTCTGAACTTAAAATCCCCTTACTAATTAAGTACCATTCTAATTAGAGGCAGGATAGGTGCCTTAAAAGAATATAGGGACTGAATGGCCGTTTTCCTGCTGATGGGACAGTATGGAGGCTAAAATTTAGCTTTGAAGGATATTTTACTCCTAGTTGTTGAAGGCAGAGTTTTGTCATTCACAGAAGCAGCCTGTTCTCTACAAGAGGGCTGCAAAAAGGGAGAATTGGGAAGCTAGAGTGTTTCTGTAAAGGACCGACAATTTGCCTCATGGAGAGGATCCCCATTCCTCTAGGTGCCTCTTTTAACCTTCAACTGCTATGTGCTCTCTAGACCAACAGCAGAGTGACCATAACATGCCATGTGTTCTCCAGACCAAGGGCAGAGAGAGACCTGGAACTGCCATGTGCTCTCCAGACCAAGGGCAGAGAGAGACCTGGAACTGCCATGTACTCTCCAGACCAAGGGCAGAGAGAGACCTGGAACTGCCATGTGCTCTCCAGACCAAGGGCAGAGAGTGACATGGAAATGCCATGTGCTCTCCAGACCAAGGGCCAAGAGTAATGCCTACTGTGGAAGGGTTGGGGGGTTCTGTTCCTAGAAAATCACAAAGATGCCTTCCCTTGAGCTATATCCCTGGTTACTATGACATTCCCTGATCTTGCCAAACAAGACTACTTCCCTGAACTATAAAAATTCCTGCACATTGCATACTCAGAGAGAATAAGAAATATGGTGGTTGTGACCAGGAAATGAGGAAATTGTGATAGGAAAGTTGGAGAGCCTTTGGATAACAGTGGGAGGTAGCCCCAGCCAGAAATCCTCAGTTGCCCCAGGACTTCCACTAGCCCCACATGATGGCTAAGTTCTCTATGAAACAAAGCTGGTTCAAACATGGCCAACATGCCCAACAACCCACGAGTGCTGGGGGATTCTCCATGTAATCCTGTCCACCAAGTTTTGTAAATCTGGAACCCAAGCTAATCATTTTTAAATGATTGAAGGAGGCCCAGTATTTGGTTTGATTTGGTTCTAAAATGGAGACCGAGAGCCCCAAAATGAAAGGACAGAGTTGCAGTCCACTCCCCTACTTACTGTTTCAATGAATGTTGTACCTTGGTATTCTAGTTAAGCCCCCAATATGAAGCTGCTATGTTGTCTGGGGTATATACCTGGGGTTTGTAATCTCATGCCAGGAAAAATTAGGACACAGACACACACAAGGAGTTTAGGAGCAGAGGTTTAATAGGCAGAAGAAAAGAGAAAGAAAAACAACTTTCTCTATTGAGAGATGGGGTCTTCTGAGTGGAAAAGACTGGCTGGTGGCAGATGTGCCAGATTTTATAGTCCACCTTGTGTAGGCAGTGTCTGATTTACATAGGGCTCACAGATTGGTTGGATCAGGTGTGATGTTTATGTAGCGTGTGGGGAAGGCTGGTCACCCCACCCTAATCTTATTATGCAAGTGAACTTTTCAGTTGATTGGTGCCATCTTGTCTGCTTCTTACTGTACATGTGACTGACAAAAAGAAGGTAGGATAGAGCCACCATCTTGAACATGATTGGCACAACTGCCAGCATCTATGTCTGCAGTTCGATTTTACAGGCTGCTTTTTTTTGTTAGAAGGAAAAATAATTTGGGGCTGCTTTTCATTAAAAGGAAAACCTTATCGAGGACTTCCATACCCTCACTCTCTGCCTAAGTAATTTCTTTTTAATTCCTGTATCATTAGGATTGTTATTTTATTATTAGTAGAATAAAATAAGTAAAATATGTTAATGTCATTAGGAACTGAAAATTTTCAGTGCAAGAGAAAAGAGATAGAAACAATTTAATTTCGAATAGGAATTACTGATATGAACTCAGGCTTTATGCTGCATTCCCTTTTAAGAAATGCCTATTTCCTTGCTTTGTCTACTGAAAAGGCCTAGAAACTATCATCAGTTCTCTAGGATTGAATCTCCATAATACCTTGATCATGGTCTCTAAATACCATTCCCTGTCGTTTTAGAAACCAACACATCTTGGAGAAATGGGAACTTAAATCTAGAACAATTCTAGCTACCTCCGTTGTCATGTCAAGAGCTCAGAACTTAACTTTAGAGGCCCTCATTAGTTAAAAATAGAAGGTCTGTGTGTTAAACATCAATATTAAAACTAACTGTAATTACTTGATATATAGTAAGTATGCTAACTCCTATGTCTTTTCTGACAGTATCTGTCAATGCAAAATTTAGCTTATTTATATTTATCGTGGGTATTTATATGCTTAGATTTGTTTTTACTCTCAAGTTCCTCTGGTGTTTTTGTTTCTATCTATTCTGCTTTTCTTTCTTTATACATGTTCTCCTTCATTACTTTTTTTCACACTGATTGATTTATTAACATATTTTCCCTCTTATTATACTCCTCCCAACATTTGTTTTGCAGTTTACACATTCTGTTCTTTAAGTGATTAGCCTTAAGTTTTTTTAATAAAAACTTAAGACTGAACAATATATTATGTAGTAGCCCCATGATAAAGTCAAATGTTTCTCTTCTGTAATCACAATAGATAAGACTCATCACACCCACATCTCCTAACCTATGTCACATTTTTCATTTCATTATCTCTCTTTTTTCATTCCAGATAAATTATTTCTATGTATCTCTAGCTCTCTAATTCTCATTTCAACTATATCTTTCTGGCTGTTTTAAACATTTGTTGAATTATTTATTTCAAATTTTTTTCTAGAATTTCTGTTTTTCAATTTTGTCTGTTCACTTCTGATATTTTCTTGATTTATGCTTATTTTTGCTATTGCCCATTTTATTTCTCTAAATATTTCATACATATTTCTTCTGACTGCCAGGACTGACAATTTCAAAATCTTTGTCTTGCAGGTATTAATTTATTATTACTCTTTTATTTCTTGTTTTGGCTGGATTGACTCCAAGTGGGTTACTTTCTTATGTCTGTGCAATCTTTGTGAAGTTATTCATAAATTTTCATTTTTATCTCTGGAAATTTTGCCAACTAACCCTATAGAATTTTTGTGCTCTTAAGTGTTTTGGGTTCAGAGCAGGTAACTCAGACTCAGCTTGTCTTTCAAGAGTCAATATCCCCAAAATTGTGTTGCCAGAAGACTCAGCCACAGAGCTTCCTTGGCTCATCCTACTGTCACACGTCTAGGCAGCTCACTCTTTCTTACTTGCTGCATCTTTGACTTTGAAGGACTGTCTCCACTTTCCCCACATTGGCCTCTGGAGTATAGCTGTTCTTGTTCCCAGCTACCAAAGCCTTGGCTTTAGAATTTTAGGACATTAGAACACTTTAGTTCCAATTACTGTTTTATCAGGTTTATATCATTGTTAGCTAATATTTGTTATCTTCTTTTTTTAACTTCATAAACTATACTATAATGTAATACTAATAAATATTTTTCTAGGCATTTTATTTATAACATTTTATTTGCTCATCACTCCTTGTCATATATGTCTTGACTGAAATAGTGATTAATGTGTGTTATGAAAAACACTTAAAGGATTTTAAGTGATTTCGGGTCCTCATGGGGCTTACAACTGCTTTAAACATTAATGGGAATTTCTCTAGCTTATATTAGTAAGCAAACACAGTAAAATCTTGCAATGGGCCTGCAGGAGACAGAAGAATTCTGCACTTGATATAAGATTTTAGTTTATGCCAGGGGCCTCTCCCACAGACTTTATTTCAGTGAGAAAATCATGGTATGTAGCTTGAGCCAGCAATTCAGATTAATAGACAAGAAGATTTATTGAACTAAACAGTAAAAAAGGAAAAGCCATTTTATAATGTGTGACGGAATAGTCTAACCAAAAAATTGTTGTCTCCCCTAGTCTATACATAAATCAGTGCCTTATCATTTCTGTGCAGTCATGCTTAACATTTTTTACCCTGGAATTATGGGCAAAATCTTTTTAATACAGACCTTAGAATACATTTTTTTATGTCGCATCTAATAAGCATTTAAAAATGGCATTCTTCTATTTTTTCTCATCTTTATTCTGACTCTCTCTGCTAGAAACCTCCAACCCAGTAACTCACTTTGTGTATCATGAACAGATCCTAAGCAGCCCTGTGCAGGAAGCTCAACTTGGATTTGACACATTGCTCTGCATGAAGAAAATAGGAAATTCAAAAGAAATACAGCATCCTTAGTGTTAATCAGGGCTTGTTTTCTGTTTCAGGAAGTATAGTTTTAGGGACCATTATTACTAAGGAGAGGTAAAATTTGTATGAGGCTAATTTGGTTTTGTTATCCCCAATTTGACATTTAAGGGGTAAATGTTTTTCTGCTGTCTATGATTCCATTCTCCGTTTCCTTCTATTTCTTTTGTATTTCTACTGCTGCTCTAACCTCATCTCAGAAATTGCTGCTGATGAGATGTGTATAATATAAATTTTCCATCTGGGTCATATTGCATCCCCATCGTCAGTAAAATTGTTTTGAATTAGCTTCTAGCATTGCAATACAATTGTGACAAGCAGTGAAAATGAGAGACAGAAAATATCCAGGACTCGTGTATCTTAGTTCCTTAGGTGTGGAAAAAAAAAAACCCATGTTTAGGACAACTTGTAAAGGAGGTGGTATTTTAGAGAGGAAATGATTTTCTTGTTAACAAGTGTATTATCTGTTCCCACACTGCTATAAAAAGCTACCTGAGACTGGTGATTTATAAAGATGTTTAATTGACTTACAGTTCCATGTGGCTCGGGAGGACTCAGGAAACTTATAATCATGGCTGAAGGTGAGGGGAAGCAAGGCATATCTTAAATGGCAGCAGGAGAAAGGGGAAGAGCCACTTTTAAATAATTAGATCTCGTGATAACCCGATCATGAGACAGCACTAGGGAGATGGTGCTGAACCACTGGAAACCACCCCCATGATCCAATCACCTCCAACCAGGCCCTACTTTCAACACACGGGGATTACAATTTCACATGAGATTTGGGTTGGCAACACAGAGCCAAACCATATCAACAAGGCAAGTGAGAAGTAAAGCAATTAATTTTAAAGTTAAAGCAAAGAAGCCATATTTATACCTTGAGTTTGTGGAATACTTCACATTAAAATACTTCACACTATATTTGGCAAAATACAGAACATAAAATGTGCACAAGAGGTATACATACAGTTTAAGACTAAATAAATCTCAATCTTCTTATAGGCTAAGAGAGAGAATATTATTAGCACTATAGAAACCCTTGGGTCACACTCCCAGCTTTCATTCCACTCATTGTCTCCAAAGAGGACACAACCATTCTGAAATTCTAAATTCATGTAAATCATTCCCTCTCTTTTTCCCCAAGTTTAATAAAATATACCTTCTTAAACAATGTAACATTTTGCCTTTAAAAAATCACAAAAATTGCATCATATTGTATAGTCTGAGTTGCTTATCTTGTTTATTCTAAAGTTTTTATTTTTGCTGTTATATTGTATTCCATTGTGTTTATGTGTGTACATATATGAATATATATGTGTGTGTATACATATAGTTTTATACATACATATCCTAGTGGCAAATATTTGCAGTATTTCCAGGTTTTTTTTTTTTTGATGATTAACAATGCTGTTGTAAATAATAATAACAGATAACAGTATAATACTTACTGTGTGCCAGGCACTATTCCAAGCACTTTTAAATATTTAAATATCAACACAAGCCTATGAAATAGGTACTATTGTTATTTTCAACTTACAGTTGAGGATGCAAGAACATAACAATGCTAATAAATTAACTAAGATAGAGTTATAAAGTAGCAGACAGGAGTTTTCAATCTAAGAGCCTGACTATGTTGTTCGTGGTTCTTAACCACTGATGTTCTTTTCTTGATTCTTGCAATGCTTCTGAAACACTTGTGCAAGGATTTCTCTAAGCTTTACGTGTAGACATGGAGCTTCTGGATTGCAGATTTCACACACACTCCACTTTACCAGGTAATGCTCAACTTTCCCAAAAGGTGTTTCAATTTATCTTCCCACTAGCAGTGGAAGAGAATTTTCATTAATATATGTCCTTTTATTCTGCCAACATGTGGTATTGTCCCATTTCTTAAATTGTACAACTTTTGTCATTATTTATTGAATTTTCATTGTTATTTAAATTTTTTCTGATTACTAATGAAGCTGAAAATTTTTCATGTTTACAAGAATTTTGTGTTTTCTACTCTGTAAAAAGTGTTTCTGTGTTTTTTACCTTTTTTATTTTTATTTAAATGTTTATATTTTTCTTATCAATTTACAGGGTTTTAAAATATTTTTGAGGTCATATGCATTTGTGGCTAATATGTGTTGCTAATGTCTTCTAGTTTATGAATTACCTTTTAAACTTTGATGAACAGAAGTTCTTAATTTTACTGTAGTTTAATTTATAATTTCCTTTATGGTATATGTTTTTTATATTTAGCCTAAAGTCATAAACCTGTTTTTCCTCATGGTATTCTACTAGTTTTATAGATTTCCCTTCCAATCATAAATATTATAACTTTATTTTTTTGTGGCAAGTTAGCAATCCACTTTTATTTTCCTTCTATAAGATAACTAATTGGCCCACAATTAAGTATTGGAGTCCATGTTCTCCCCACTCAGCAGAAGCTTCCATTCTATTATCAATTACCAACCTTGTGGGTATGTATGCATGTGCACATGCAATTATGTTTATGGATTCATGGCATAATTCTCCCTTTACTTATGTTTTCTTTATTGCCTTTATAAAAGTTAATTTTTTTCACAATGCTTATCCAATTTTTATTAAATTTATTTCTAGGTACTTGGTACTTTTTTGTTGCCATAGAAAAATGATATCATTTTGAAAATTACATTTTCTGTTAATGTTGACATATAAAAATACAATAGTATTTTATATTTATTTAAAAATATTTATGGCTCGGCATGGTGGCTCATGCCTGTAATCCTAGCAGTTTGGGAGACCAAGGTGGGAGGATTGCTTGAGTCCAGGAGTCTAAGACCAGCCTGCGCAACATAGTGAGACCTCATTTCTACAAACAAAACAAAACAAAGCAAAACAAAATTAGCCGAGTTAGATGGTGTGCACTTGTGGTCATATTTACTTGGGAGGCTGAGGTGGGAGTATTGCTTGAGTACCTGGAGGTTGAGGCTACAATTTTGCCACTGCACACCAGCCTGGACAACAGAACAAGACATATATATATATCAATATATATATTGATTTCCAGCAACATTGTGATTCTTTCTCTTTTTAAACAAGAAATATGCTGATTTTGTAAAATTAACTCAGAAATATTCCAAGTTAGTGGGAGTCCAAATCCAAAATCACTACCTATCACTACCTATCTAGCCAGTTTAGCACACACCATAATTACATCAATAATATATTGACAATTACCCGTAGATTTCTTTGTTTTAGGTGGACAATTACATAATCTGAGAGAATGACTTGCTTTATTCCTTTCCAATTGTGAGAATTTATAATTTTATTTTCTTCTCTTATTCCAGTGGTCAGAACCTCAAACACAATGTGGAATAAATGTAGTGATAGTAACCATTCTTGTGTCATCCGTGATTCTAAAGAAAATTACTTTATAATGTCACCACAAAGTAAGACATTTACTAAGGATTCTCATAATACTCATAAGCAGACTAAAAAAGTGTATTATATATTTCCATTTGAAGATTACCTTTAATGAATATTGAATTTTATTGATTAATTTTTTTTACATTTATTGAAGTTGTCATATGATTTTTCTTTTCAATCTGTAAATATGGCAAAATGCACTAATTGATTTTATATTATTAAATTAACTGCATACTTAAATTTAAGCATAATTTTTTTTCATACATATCAATTAACATAGGGTTGCCAGACTAAAAAACAGGACACTTAGTTGAATTTGAATTTTAGGTAAACAATGAATGAAAAGCATATTTTCATTTCCTAAATCTGGCAACCTTACCTGAATATAAGAATCCTGTAAGTTCTATCATTTCCCTTGTAACTGTATGAGACCTATAATTTATTTTGAATCTGTTCCCACCCACCTACACCCAAGACATTCTTTTTTTAATGTTTTAATGTTTAAATATTATTGATAAATCATACTTGTATAGACATTCTTATTTTATGATTTATTCACATATTTACCAGTATCTTTGTCCATTATTTTTCTTTCATCTCAGATTTCTATCTGGGATCATTATCTTTCTTTCTGAAGCATAGCTTTAAATATTTAATTCTCGTGTTAACTCTCTTGGTCTGAAAATATCCTTATCCACCCTTATTCTTGGTTGATATTTTTGCTCAGTACAAAGTTTTAAGATTATAGTTATTTCATCTCAGCATCTTGAAAATAATATTCAAGACATCTATTTTTTTCTTTCTGTGGTTGTGAAGTCAGCTACCAATATAATTGCCTTTTCTTTGTGGGTAATTTGTTTATTCTCCTTGGCTTCAATAAAGACTTTTTTTTTCCGTGTTTCACAGTTTAGTTATGATTTGTCGTCTTGCAAATGTATTTATTTACCCTTCTTAGTATTCACTGATATTCTTAGAACTGAGAATTTGTGGTTTTTTTTAAAACATTCTATGACGTTCTCAACTATTATCTCTTTCTGTGATCGTTTATTTCCCATTTTTTTCTATCTCCCTTTGAAACAACAATTACATATTGATCAGCCCTTTTCTGTCTGTGCCCCTTCACTTCATTTTTTGTCTTCCATCTCTTTGTCTCTCCAGACTATTTTCTGGACAATATCTCTTCCAGTTCATAATTTATCTCTGCTGCTGAATTTAATTCAGTTATTGACTTTTTAAGTTTAGTTAGTACAGTATTTCCTGAGATTTTATTTGGTTCCTTTTCAAATCTGAACGTTCATTTTTATAGTCTCCTAGTTGCTAGTCAAAATATCAAACTTTTTTTGTTTCTTTAGACATATAGAGTTATTTCTTAGTGTGTTTCAAATAATTCCTTTTCTTAATGTTTGTCAGCTTGTTTCTGCTATTATTTCTACAGATTTCTACATATAATATCTTGTTTCTGTATGTGTGTTTTATGATATTCAGTTCTGAGTTGTTTATCCTTGGAACTTTATCTGTGGGAATTATTTGAGGGTTGTGCCAAAAGTGATATTTTTCAGAAAAGTTGCATTTACTTCTCCCAATTGCCCGTGGCCAGTACCAAACAAAATTACTCTAAATTAAATTTATTTTGAGGATTTAAAAATTTTATAGAAAGCATGATTTGCCATTCAACAAAAATAAAAGCAAGAACAAAGCTCCAGTAAACATTTTCCAGCTATCTGGAGTGTCTCATCCTAAATTCCACCTATAAACAGAGTGCTGCCTTTGTCTTCTGTCCCTAACTCCACAAACCTGCCGATTAGAATAGCAAGGTCTCGAACCCTCGGGTGAATGCCAGATTTATTATTTTTTTACCTCTTAGAGTAAGCAGTAATGCTTTAATTTTGTTTAGGGCTTTTGAATTTCTAACTTTCATGCCAGTTCAACAATGCTTTGAAAAATAATGCTATATTTTAACTGGAATTTTAATTGATTCAATTGAGACAATGATTCAGGGTATCTACTCAGCCATACTTATAGAAATAAAAATGTATATCCATTTATTAATTATACTATTAATCACAATTATCATAGATAACATTTGTTGTTTATTATACATAGGCATTAAGCATTATTTAATGCAATTTTACAGCAAACATGTAAGATACTATTTTTATTCCAATTACCCATAATAACACTGAGGCTCAAGATCACAAAATCTTATGTAGCAGACCTGGGACTCTGACTCATGTTTGACTTTAAAGCCAATAATTGTAACCATTGTGGCATATAAACTCTACCACTTCTGTAGTGTTTCCCAAATAACCTAGCAAAGTGGAAATGATGCGCATTGCCTTTGAGTAGAGGAATCTTTCAAACCAAATGATCTTGGAAAAAAGACAAATAGCTTAAATCTACAATCTTTTATATTTGGGATATATGTGCTCCTAAATGATTGCTTATTTGTTAAAGCAAAGTTTCTTTGTTAGTTTTGTATCTATTAAAGAATTACAATATTATTTTAAAAAACAAGTGCTTCCTTCTAAAGCAATTTCAGGAGTCACACAATGTGAGGGAGGGGATTCAGAAATAAAACAATTTGCATCTTGCATTGAAGCATCTGATTGTAAAATGCTTAATAGAACTGCTGATTGAGTAGGAAATAATTTCAATGTGTATTTTCATAATATTTCCTGGTGGAAAAACCTCATATTCTAGACAATTATTTTAAAGAAACAGTGCGATGATTTCATTCTCTGTTAATTCCGTTAAGTAAAATGATTTTATTTTGGATTGTTACCTTTACCAAATATGAAGATATTAAGTGTTGGGAGGAAACTTGCTGGCTGATGTGAGATGTTTGTCTTTTGTTGAGTATACATTATGAAGAATTTAACTGAAAAATGTCATAAACATTGAATTTCTGAATTAGCCCCAAAAAAGTTGGAAAAAGATGGTAATTAGCAATCTCTGATGGTAGTGAGGATGTGAATGATTAGTCTTTTTTCTTGAACTCATTTAATAGAGAATCAACCAACAGATTATTTAAAATTTGAATTTGAGCTTTTCCCCTTGCTTAAAAAATTCACTTTATAGGCCAGGTGTGATGGCTCACACCTGTTATCCCAGCACTTTGGGAGGCTGAGGTGGGTGGATCACAAGGTCAAGAGATCGAGACCATCCTGGCTAACACGGTGAAACCCCGTCTCTACTAAAAATACAAAAAAATAGCCGGGCGTGGTGGCAGGTGCCTGTAGTCCCAGTTACTTGGGAGGCTGAGGCAGGAGAATGGTGTGAACCTGGAAGCCGGAGTTTGCAGTGAGCTGAGATCATGCCACTGCACTCCAGCCTGGGCAGCAGAGCGAGACTCTGTCTTAAAAATTAAAAAAAAAAATTCACTTATATATTAACATTTTTATTGTCCAAGCAGAATTTTAATTATAATGCATATGGTATTAACTTTGTTTTCTTTAAACACTTTTTATCTCAAATGAAACAGATGCTTGGATTCTGGTGTGCTTTCTAACCATCAGTGTAGGTAATTGAAATAAGAAGAAACTATGCTTGTCCTGGCAGATCTGGATTAACAAATTAGCATTCGATGCTTGTGATAAAAGCATTAGCTTCCAAGTCCAGACCTGAAATACCTTTCTCAAACCATAATGAGACACAACTAAAGAACTGGTCACTCAATGATAATGATTTTTCATCACTGTTGGCCTGGTTTGAGTCCAAATTGCTTCCCTGGGAGGAACATCACATTTCAGCTGTTCCAACTTCTCTTGTTGATGTGGTTTACGTGCCATCATATCTTTGCTGGCTGCAGCATCTATCTCTAGGAATCCCCTAAATAAATAATTATGTTTATACCTAAGATTGTCTCTTACTGATGCTTTTAAAATGTTTTATTTCCTATCCCTTCAAGCTTCAGCTTTTAACATTTATAAAAAAAACCTTTTCACCTACTAGGTTTCAATTGGCTTCAATACTTGCTCATTTAGAAACTGTATTATTACGTTGCTTTTTTATTGCAGAGCTTTTATCGGTTAGTCAAATCATGAGTAAACTTTAGAGTTGAGTGTGAAATGAGCATTTTAAGGATCCTCACCACAATCTTTATATTCATTTATGAATAAATTTCCCCAATTAATTTTATTAAATGCATATCCTTTTTCCTGAAGTAAGTAATAATTGGTACTATCAAACTTTTCTGAGCAGAAACATGTGATATGCTTAGAGGACTTTTGGAATAGACCACATGGATATAGTTATTTATAGAAAAGTGATTAGAGTAAATAGAGACTGTTGAGATAGAAATGTTTTAGACTTTTCAAATCTTAGGCCCTAAATTTTAGCTTATGTTTTATACATTATACCTATGGTGTGAAATCTGTTTTATAGCATAATTATGGAGAGAAATGCTCTTCTGGAAAAAGATCATATTCATCATAGGATTTCTTTGGGACATCTTTATTTAGGTGGCTTGAAACTGGTTGCCATGGATTTTCTCTCATTACTAGCCAGGAAGGTGGAGGTAGGAGCAGTTTTCTGGACTGAGTAAAATCTTTTAATGAAAGAGAAATACTTCTCTTGACAGATTGCTCTTTTCTTTCTCAACCCAGCAAGAGAATAGTGTTTATTAATTTAAGACAATCAGGGCACAAAACACAATATTGACCTTTGACAGTGAGAACTGTGAACAGTAAACAACATAACGATTTCTTCTTGAGTTGCACAAATAGCCATTGTTTTGGTGTGCATAATTATTTAGCAGAATATTACTTTATCTGTTCTGCTTTGTGTTGCCAAGTGGAAAGGCACATTGTGTATGGTGGAAATAAAGGTGTGTGTCATTTGTTCCATTCTTGGCATTTTACTTCCTTCAGTGGTGACAAGTGGAAACTTACCTGACTTTAGCTAGCAGAGTGGATTCTTAATACACACACTGAAAGAAACATCTCACAATAGCTTCAGTGAAGGGGCAATAGAATCTGGAAGAAATCCCAACATTGTTTAGCTTTTCTTTTTTTCTTTACAGTTGGGGGAAAAGAGCTATCATGTATTTTTTCCCTTTTGGGAAGGATTAAGAAACAAAACACTATTAAAATATGACATGGCATAAAGGTGGCTCGACTTTGTCGTCGCCTTATTCCAGGCAAACATTTTAGTACATCACACCAGTTGTTAACAGAGCCTCGTAAGACTGGACTAGCAGAGACCAGGAATACTGCATAAGAGGTAGAAACAGAAATAGTAAAAATCCTTTAGAGTGAATGCACTATATTTGTTTCTACCTTTTCTATGAGGAACCTCTGAAAATGAATGGATTTTGCTTGTGTTAGTTTAGATTTTGGAGGAAAACCAAACTAAGGACCTGATACATGAGTCAAAAGAAGTTAGGAAGTGGCAAATGAGCTGGAAAGAACTGAAAAAATGTGGAATTATTTTTGAAAAGAAGCAGCTTGAAAATGATCCTCTGTAACTTTGGCTACTTGCTTGTATTCTCTGGCCCTCAGACTTCATCTGTATAAAGAGCAGTGGTGATGCATGGGGCAGGATATGGTGAGCGGACAGTTTCACTGGCACAGTCAATAAAGGGATGCATTATCTGTAGGGAATTTAAACTGTATTAAAAGCCAGTTTTTTTAAAAATCACTTTTCACAGACAATTATAAACGATATAAGTGATAAAATACTCCTTACCATGGGGCAGGCCACTCCCACTGGCTCTCATCTCAGTATGCCATTCCCTTTTCCCTACTTCATTGCAGTGGTCTTGGCAGCAGAAATGGTGATGGATATTCATAATTACACTGCTGAATTTAAAGAAATGGGAGCTAATGCCTTTCTACATTAATAAAAACTACAGCACAGCAAAGCAGCAGTAATTATAGGGAGTGTTTATTGAACAATTTTGATATGCAAAAAAAATTCATTTCTCTTCGCCACAATCATAATAGTATTATTATGACAATTTTTCAATGAGGAAATTGAAATGTTGAAAAATTAAGAAATTTATTCAGGTTGTACTGTCTATTGATGTATGAGCTGAAATTCATGTCTAGTTCTGTCTGACTTCAAATCCTAGATTGTTATCCATTATCTATATACCGTTTCCCACTAACTTTATTTGGTTGATTTTGGAGAATACTTTCTAATGAAACTTTAATTACAATTATCTGCTTTACCTTTTAGCTTCTGTTCCCATTTCTTTTTTCATTCTCCTAAGAAGGGCTTTCATGCTCTGCCTACCTCCTCTTGACTCCTTTGGCAAGTCCCTTTAGCTTGCCCAGTCGTGGGTGACTTTCTTGACAAAGCCTCTAAGACACTTATAGCAGCTTGGTGAACAGGCATATAATCCATCACTTTCTAACCCATCCATTTGGTGGTTAGAGAAAACTAGTAATGAAAATGAGTTGACAAATAAGATGTAACCTAATTTACTCATGTTAATTGTGACATGTCTGGTGTTTGGTCACCAAGAGCACTTTATTGCTTAATTCCAATGTCCTGCTGTGGGATTCCACTTGAATGGAAAATCAGCATCACATCAAGGAGGATGAAGAGTGTCTTTGCTTTTTTCAGCAATATTAAGAGAAGTAAACAAAAAATGCTAATATCAATTTTATTCTTTCTGACTTTTTTTGGACCACACACGCTATGATCTGTGGCTCCTCAAACAATGTAATAGGTGAAACTGCAAGTTTAGGCCATTCTTTTAACAGCAGTTTGAACTGTAATGGGTTAGGCAACTATGAGCAATGATTAAATAGTGATTTCATAACGAATATTTGATCTTACTGAACGATCATTTAAAGTTTAATTTTGCATATATTAAAATACTCTACATAATTAAGGAGATTAGATAATTTATTTTGCATTTCCTAAATGTGTTAAGATTGAATCCCATCCCCCATCACAATAACAGTTATTCAAAATTAGTTTTAGTTTCTTCCAAATATTTAATCATGACTATTTTAGATCTTTATAAATGCAAAAATTCCAAATCTCTATGCTATTAGTATCATGTGAGCCCAATTATTCACAATGATGGCACAATGAAAATGTATAACCAGATGAAAAAGGGGAAATAGCAGTTTCTAAAGGGCATAGAAAATTGCATTCTGCATCCAAGGCTATATGTTGTGATGCATAAAGCAGTCTAGGGAAGGCAAATAACCCGTATAAATTCAGATACATAATTAGTAACTAATTTTGTTAGTATCTATTATATGGACTGTAACCCTTTATTGTTATTTTATAATACAAAAGATGATTAGACCCAATGCAGTATTTTCTGGAAGTTTTTTTTTTCTCTCTATCTATATATATGTATCAATCATCTTACCTATCTATCCATTCATCTCCAGTACTAGGTTAAAATACTTTGTGGAAAAAACTGTTATATGCCTGTACTATGGGCTAACGAACACTAAAATGAGAAAAAGAAGTAAATATTTTGTAAAAATGAAATATATATTATTTGTATGTGCTATATGCAGGAAAAAAAACATATATATTTAGTAGGTGAAGGAGGATGACTGCAGGCTGTCACCCTGGAAGCTACACACCCTCACTGATTCCTTATTTCAATTTGAATTTTGGGGACGGGAGACACTATTTTACCCCTCGTTTTTCCATGTACAGGGTCCCTGTAGCATAGTACTACTGCCTCATTTCCTCACCCATCACTCACTTCTCACTGATTGCAGGTTTTGGGGAAAGCCAACCCAGCCCTTCTTTCCTACTTTTAGAAGTCACTACCTCCACTTTTGTTCTTTGCTCTTGTGCATTCAGATGAACTCCATGGGATGGGAAAAGCCCACAGCTCGGTGTGTCTCTGGGTGTGTGAGTCTGTCTACTTTGGGGATGGCATGTTGGGAAGCTATTTGATGCATGTTTGATGCCACATTCTCTAATCTGCTTTATCAGTCATAAAGCTGTTGTTTAAATCTCGATCTATTTCCTCTGCCTTATTTTTAAATCTATTCTGAACATAAGATGGGAAGAAAAGGGTATTATTTACTGACCTCATAAGATCCCAAAGGTGATGCTGAAGTCTCTGGAACTTATATTTCTATGGAATGTGAAAAATAAGCCCACCCTGTTGTAAATTCAAATGAAAGTAGTATCAAATTACAGCAAAGTTGACACTGTTGCATTTTTAAGCAAAAATTTATTTAAAAATCTCTAACATATGGAGTAATTAAATATCAAAATCTAAATCTAAAATAACTTCCTTTTTGTATATTTTATATATATATTTTTTTTACATGGAGTCTTGCTCTGTCACCCAGGCTGGAGTGCAGTGGCATGATCTCAGATCACCGCAAACTTCGCCTCCCGGGTTCAAGCGGTTCTCCTGCCTCAGCCTCCCAAGTAGCTGGGACTATGCCACCATGCCCAGTTAATTTTTGTATTTTTAGTAGAGATGGGATTTCACCATGTTGGCCACGCTGGTCTCAAACTCCTGGCCTCAGGTAGTCTACCAACCTCAGCCTCCCAAACTGCTGTGATTACAGGCGTGAGCCACCGTACCTGCCAAGTCTCTTTTTGTATTCTTGATAAACATTCAATTCTAGTGTATAAATCTTATGATTTTTTACTTCAAAATAAGTGATTTAGCCTTTATGCCTAAATGTTTTTTTATGTTGTGGTTCACTATGTACTTTTATCATTCAAAAAAGTCATCCTTATGAAGTAAAGCCCTTTCCCATTGCTTCAGCCTTGTTGCCTTTCTCCAATACCAGGCTGATATAAGAATTAGTGTATGTTATTTACATATATAATATGCCAAATAAAAAGAGAAATACTTGTTTTAATGATTTCAAGTATTTTATAGTAATTCAATTTTAGGTCTAGGAGTATTCAATCTCTTGAGAAGGACATTTTATAATACACATTTCACATCTTACAATACTTAGAAAGCATAGGACAACCATATCAGAGTTCCTCATTACATTTCTTCAGTTTTATGTCATCTGTTTTTTAATATTCTATCAACAAATGGAAAATTTCACTTGTCAAAGAGATGATAAAGTTGAAGAATGGGGTTGCCTTGCCTTTCAATTTTTTATATATTTAGCATTTCTCCCAGTAAAGAGAATTGTTACAATGCCAGATTTTCCATTTGGTTTACCAAATTACACATGGATTATTGCAAATGAGCTCTGCCACAAGAAACCACAGTGAAAATATTGGAGGGAGTTAAAGTGCTCTTTATAACACTTGAGCTTGCTCTATTAATCTGAGGACAAAAAGAATTGAGCCATTTTGTTCCCAAATAGCATCAGGCAATGAATGGACAGTCCTTGCTAAAGTTTCTTTAAATATATATATATTTTTCTCATGGTTAGCTTTAGAAGCAACCAACTGATACTGGTTAATGGAAGTCCCTGAATAGCATTTTAATTCAAGTTTAAATCTTTATTCCTGTTAACTGGCAACAGAAGTAAGAAGTTTCAAAGAGATACCCTAAGTTATCTGTGGTAGTAAACAAATGTCAAATGTTCACAAAATAATAATACAGATCCTGACTTAAAAAGAATGGGTGATTATGATCATCCAATATAAATTTACTTTTGTTCATCTCTTTGAATTATTTTAGCACTTATTTTCTTATAGTAATTATTTGACCCTCAGAAATATGACTTTACCACCATCACTGTGTAGCAGAAAGAGCAAAAGCTTTGGAATCAGACATAATCCGGGTATGTCTGGCACCAATGCTGTAGATAGGACTTGGGCAATTTCCTCTTAACTGCTTTGAATTTCAATTTTCTTAGCTGCTAAATAGAGCAAACAATAAATACATCAGAGAAAAGTTATGAGGATTTAAGAAATTCGAAAAGCCTTTAGTCAAGTCCCTGACATGAATTTGGTGCTCAACACTTTTAAAAATAATAAAGTTTTATCTTCCCGACTAAGGCATTGTATGCTCCTGGAACAATAACTGTGCTTCTCTCATTTTTGTGGCAATAAATACTTGCTGCTGCTGCTGATGACAAATTCTCTTCATGAAAATTCATTTTCTGGCATAATTAGAGCTCTTACAAGGGTTTTCAGTGACTGAGAAGGCAATACGCGTCACTCTTTAGAGGAGGACTGCCTTGTACTCTTTGATTTGGCTCTTTTGGTTCAGTTGACAAGAGATGAGGTGGCCTGTCAGAAAAATGTCCTGTTTTATGAATTTTGGAAGCCTGGAGACTACAGTTCCCATACTCCATGGCCTGCAGGATTCCAGTGATATTCTGCCAATTAGAGGCTTTCATGAAGATTCAAAATAGGAAAGAAGAGACACATCAGGTCAGGCACATGAGCATCAGCAGATGGCAGACATGGATTTTGCCTGCAATTTGGAGGCATCTTCCTCAGGAACCCCCGTTTGGTGATGAAGGCAGATGAAATAACTGGTGGCAGCTTCCTTGTAACCTTGAAACTCTGAATTTCCTGAGAAAGCTCAAAATGTCTACAGTGGCATATGTTTTTCTGATCAAACTTTAATGGATACCTAGTACAATTTTCTTTCAGTTTAAACAGCTACCGTAGAAAAAGTTTTAGCCACATTTATGGGCAAACAAACTCTAAACCTAAGCCTCTTATGTATACTCACATTCATTAGAAAGACAAATGAAAACTAACAACTTGTTACTTTCAGTTTCAAACAGATTATTTTGATAGTGGTATCTTGCACATGGGAATAAATAAGTGAAATCTTGAATAAATTGAATTACTAGAAGTGAGTTTTAGGTTATCATTTGAGTCAGTATCATCTGTTTTCCTGTCAACTAAGTTTTAGTGAAAAGGGAAAACGGAAAATAGTTATTATGAGAGACTCGTTTTAGTAAACAGGAAGAAAGGCTTTAGGTGGGCCGTTTTTTTTTTTTTTTTTTGAGTGGTAGATATTTGAATGCATTTTTGGATTCTGTGAACTGTGAATATTTACTTATTTAAAACACCCTAGAATGTTTCTGGGAAATATAGATACAAAGGATTAAAAGCAAAATGAAATAAATTATTTGAATAATTCTGCTTCTCCAGCTGTCAGGTAATACTACAAATTGGTTAATATAGGAGAAATCCATATGGGTTGTGCTTTGGAGCTAGATACCCATATCCATATTTCAGTCTGACTTCCTACCATGGTGATGATACAGAGATGGATTTGTGAAAATCTCTAATCCAGGAAGCTACAGTCTCCTGGTAACTTTAATTGTGGATTCTACTATTTTATTTATGAAAGTGTGTTTAGGATCTATTATTCAATTGTAATAACTGGTTTGATGATATCACAATTTTCTTTAATTCCATCTAATTTATTATAATTGGTCACATTATGCAAAGAATTTTAAGATCAATCCAAGATTTAACCAAATTTTATGGGATTGTGGAGTTAACATGCTTTTAAGGTGTGTTGAGAAGTTGGTAAAAATGAGTGGGTGAGAGTCCATGGTTCTATGATACTCATTGTCTCTCCAATCCTGTCATAGCTCTCACAGTAGTATACAGGAAGGTGAGAGCTTATACCTGCGTAAACCCATCCTCATTTAAGAGTTCATGCCTGTGGCTGGGCGTGGTGGTTCATGCCTGTAATCCCAGTACTTTGGGAGGCCGAGGTGGGTAGATCACGAGGTCAAGAGATCAAGACCATCCTGGCCAACATGGTGAAATCCTGTCTCCACTAAAAATAGAAAAATTAGCTGGGTGTGGTGGCGCACACCTGTAGTCTCAGATACTTGGGGGACTGAGGCAGGAGAATTGCTTGAACCCGGAAGGCAGAGTTTGCAGTGAGCTGAGATTGTAGTACTGCACTCCAGCCTGGCGACAGAGCGAGACTCCATCTCAAGGGGAGGGGAGGGGGAAAGAATTCATGCCTCTTTGTGAGGGGTCAGTATAGTGTTCTTCATAACACTTTAAACTTTATAACATTTTATAAAACTTATTTACATAACACCTATGAATTCATTATTTTATCTGTTTCTCAAAATCACCTTGTAAATCTGTCAGGAAAGATATTTTTGTCACCATTTTAAAGCTGCAGAATCTAAAGGTCAGCACAAAATGTTTCGGTTAAGAATATCCAAGAAGTTTCAGGTGGAACTTAGACTAGAATCTAGGTGCACTGACCTCCAGTCCAATGTTGTTTCTAATGTTATTTGAGCAGGATTAATAGGCTTATTTTAATATCAAGTATTAGGAATGTCAAGTGAGAGAATTACATAGCTCTGGTAGATAATAATAATAAAAATGATATTATTGGTAGAAAATAATTGCAAGCACTGTGACAGATATAGACCCCTATGTTCCAGATTTTCTCTCAAACATCAGTTTCATATCTTTTTGTTCAGCCAAGGCTGTTCTATTAGCTGTGCATTGTTGCCAGAATGAACAACTTCAAAGAAACCATCAGTCGTCTGGCAAGGCTTTTCCCCCAACACTGATTCAGTGAATTGATGCCAAGCTATTTGCACCATCTGTTGGGTATGAGTCATTGGAGGGAGGAAGGCTGGACAGCTGGAGCTGTCAGCTTTGAAATGCCACTTACAGGGGGAAATACCAGGATTCACATTGAGAAGGATAAAAGCAAAATACCCTGCTAATCCAAAAAAAGAAAAAAAAAGAAAGAAAGAAAGAAAGGCTGGTTAGATGTTGTGGTATTTCTGCTGAATGTTTTCCTTTTCCAGACACTCAGGACCCTTTTATTCATCCTGGCCTCTTTCTGAGGGAAGGTTTTGTTGTGCCATATAAAAAAAAAGATGTGAGCAAAGACTTCCCATGTGGGAGTGCAGGAAGAAATTGAGGGAATGTAATAATACATTATGCTGTGTCTTCTTGGACTAAGGGCCTGGAAGCAGAGCATCTAAAACTTTTGTTTGATGCTGCATTAGAGGTAGAGTTATCCATTTATACCTGTATTTATTAACTTATTAGTTCATCCACTCATTCACTGAATGATTACTGTATTCCAAGAGCTGGTGGATGAAACAGAGTAATAACTACCTGTATTGATTGCCTACTATATATATGCTTTAAATATGACATTTTATTGAGTACCAGCAAGAATTCAATGGTACAAGAATTATTATCCCATTTTTTCCATGAGGAAACTGAAGCACAGACAGTAGCAGTAATTTTCCCAAGGTTACCAGATAAGTGAAAGACTAAAGATTGGAAACCTGGCATATCTTTAAAATCTGTCAGTGCCAACAGTGAGACAGGACAAGTCTTACACAAAGTTATTTTGGGCTGGTGCTCTTTATTCACATTTCAGATTTTTCCCTACTTGTTTATTTCCACACATCAAATTTACTTTAAATTGTAGGGAGGAGAAAATAACGAGAGCCTTAAAAATTCCAATAAGATTTGTTTTTTAGCTATTGAATGCACTCCTTTTCTCTATTTCCTTTTAATGCACATTCTAACAGGTCAAAAATATTTTTTTATCCTCTTTGACTGTGGCATATAAGACCTTCTTATAAATTTATTCTATGGTACAATAATTTGACATTGGTAAATTTGTGAACTAGCCAAATATAAAAATTGTTTATAAATTTGAACAGCATTTTCTCCTTTGATTTCCCTTGTTAAACTGGACAAGCTACAATGTTAGTCCTTAGGCTGAGTTAAGAACAATTAATTTGCTAACGAGGGTGTGGAGTAGTGGATGGTCTTATATGCTGTTGTTACAGTTTGGTGCAAACTTTCTGGTAAACAGTTTGGCAATATATCACAAGAGCCTAAAACTGTTCATAATCCAAGATACAGATTTTATAACTTCCCATTTATAAAATTATTCAAAGAAGTTAGATATTTTTAGCATGAGAAGTCTTATTTCAGAATTATTTATGAAAATAAAAATAAAGCACACATGTTCAACGAGTCAAAAAAGATGAGTTAAATTGTTCTCTATTTATATGAAAATATCAAGCAAAATAAATATTTTCAAGAAATTTTAATATAAATGGAAAATATTTATAGTATGGTTTAATGTAAAAACTAAAAATATATAATGTTGAATATAGAATACTCCTAATATAGCAAACAGTAGTTCTCAAAATATAGTATCTAGGCCAGCATCATTAGCATCACCTGAGACCTTGTTAGAAATTCAAATTCTTGGATCCCACCTCAGACTTACTGCATCAGAAACTCTATGGCTGGGAACAGGTAACCTGTGTGTTAAAGAGTCCTCTAGGTAGTTCTGATGCTTGTAAAAGTTTGAGACCATGGATATAAATTATGAAAAAAAAACTAGAAGATAACCAAATTATTCACTGTGATAAATTCTTGCAATTATCACAGGAGAATTATAGGTGATTTCAAGTTTTTTCTTTATTTTAAAGGCTCTCTAATTAACAGATATTAATTTATCATTAGAACAGTATATTTTAATTTAGAAAATTCAGATAATGCAAAAAAGCAAAAATTGTCAGTAATTACACTATGCTGAAAATTCTAAAAATTGAGAATGGAATGTTTCCTTTTTACCTCTCAAATTTCAACCTTCAGAAGTAACTACTATTAATAATACATACCCTATAATCATATTTTTAAATTAAAATGGAAACTTGCCAAGCATAATGGGCTGGAGGATGCTGGGTTTTATTTAAGTAAAAAATAATGTATCATGGACATCTTTCCAGGTCAGTAGATTATATCTACTCATTCCTTTTTATTGCATGCTTAATATTCCATAGTGAGGATATGCCATAATTTATACTACCATTTCATTTTGATGACTATTTAAACTATTTTCAATTTATTGCTTCCATAAAACAACGCTACAATGAAAATTCTGTCTTCATGGCATTCACAGTAATAGTTTTCATCAATTATATTTTAATCTATCAAATATTCTGATAAATGAAATTAATTATTTGTTCAACAGATCTTTATTTAGTACTGTGAAAAGTTACTCCCCTCCTTTTCCTTTCATAGAGTTTGCTGTACCTTATAGAGAAACAGTGGGTTAATGCATTGACAAGAAGGTCTGTTCAGTCATGGTGCTCTGTAATAATAAAGAGTCCTGTATTCCAAGAATTAAGTTACATGAATATAAATTGTCCAATTTTATTAATTACATTTACCATACTTATATGAAAATAAAAATTGGTCATAATGGAATAGCAAACTGAAAGACTATACAGTGTTGTTAGCATTCTTATATTTGTTAATATAATTGGGTTTGAAATCAATGAATTCAATCACACAGAAAAAACAAACTCTAGATTAAAATCTCTTATCTAAACTTATTAAACAATTATAAAATGAGGATTTCACTTAAAATATTTCCTAAGACATATGGTAATGTTAATGGAAAATATACACTACTCAGATTAGAATATTTTTGTTAACTTAGTGAACATATCTAGTATGCTACGTCCTTGTAATCTTATCTCAACTTTTTTTTTTTTTTTCCCACGGAATCTCACTCTTGTCACCCAGGCTGGAATGCAATGGCGCGATCTCGGCTCACTGCAACCTCCGCCTCCCGGGTTCAAGCGATTCTCCTGCCTCAGCCTCCGAAGTAGCTGGGTTATAGGTGTGCACCACCATGCCTGGCTAATGTTTTTGTATTTTTAGTAGAGACAGGGTTTCACCATGTTGGCAAGGCTGGTCTCGAACTCCTGACTTCTGGTGATCCGCCTGCCTCGGCCTCCCAAAGTGCTGGGATTACAGGTGTGAGGCACCATACCCGGCCCCTCCACTTTTAATGACTCCCTTTTGTTGTTGTTGTTGTTTTTTTTTTGAGACGGAGTCTCACTCTGTCGCCCAGGCTGGAGTGCAATGGTGCCATCTCGGCTCACTACAAGCTCCGCCTCCCGGGTTCATGCCATTCTCCTGCCTCAGCCTCCCGAGTAGCTGGGATTACAGGCACACGCAATGACTCTCTATTAATGATGGTATTGTCTGTTTAGTATTTATTAAAAATCAACAGGATACACTTAATACAGTTTATAAGTTCACAATTTGTAAGCTCTTATATTCTATATAACATCACATAATACCATATTATTGTAAAAAACTATAAAAATATATACTTGTCATTTAAAAATCTTTCAAGGCAAATCCTCTTATAACAAAATTGCATTTGGTATAATACAAAGTTCTATTAAAATATCTAAGCCGTGTTAATTCAGTCATTTCACATGGTATTTAGTAAGTCTCTAGGTTTTACAAGAAATGCCTTCATCTTTGAGTTATACTGAGATAAATACTATTTTTTCTTTCTTCCTTTTTTTTTTGTTTTTGAGACAGAGTCTTGCTCTGTCGCCCAGGCTGGAGTGCAGTGGCACCATCTTGGCTCACCACAACCTCCGCCTCCTGGGTTCAAGTGATTCTCCTGTCTCAACCTCCTGAGTAGCTGAGATTACAGGTGCCTACCACCATGCCCTGCTAATGTGTGTGTGTGTGTGTGTGTGTGTGTGTGTGTGTGTGTGTGTGTGTGTGTGTAGTTTTAGTAGAGATGGGGTTTCTCCATGTTGGCCCAGCTGGTCTCAAAATCCTGACCTCAACCGTGCCCGGCCACTGCTTTTTCGTCATGAAAGCTAAACAGATTGCAAATACAGAAATTTTTAAAAGCCAACATCCAGCCATTATTAATCTTGTATTATCTTTATCTTTTTTTCATATACCTCTCATTTTTTAGTCTCATGAAATGAACAATTTGGTAACCTAGTTTTTTCTTTATAGCGTAATTGGCTTCCATGCTGATTTACAGTATTCATAAGCATAATTTTTAATTACCACAAATGCCCCATTACATGTTTGTCTGTAGTTAATCTAAGTCACCTCTTTACTGTTGGACAAGAACTTTATATTCCTTTTTCACTCATAAATAACATCAAAGTGGGACTACTCAGGTATATATTGTTTTACTCATTATAATTTATTTTCTTATGACATATTGCTTGAAGTTAAATATCCGGATTAAATCAGATAGACATAGAATATTTTACTTATCTAGCTCCATTTAACAGTAATTAACACCAATGAAACTGAAAACTCAGAGTTAAAGAATCCACTGTTGAGAATCAAACTGATATATACACTACTTATAAAACACATATATATATTATTTATACGTACATACATATATTTGGCAAATACCCATTATTGACTATATAACTTAGTACTGAATCTTAAATATGTGAAATAATAAAGCCTAAATAGGGAATTTGAGGTACAGACTTGGATATCACAGAACCAGTCAATCATACATAAACCTTTCCTCATAAATAAGCATTTCAGAAAATAAAGAGATTTCCATGTAGTTGCATGTGGCCCAAACCACCAATGCCTTGATGTTCTTGTTACAAATATTCTCCCTCCAAGTGATCCTGTTCGGTATTTTTATGCCTCTTCACTTTTACTAGCCATGTCCAAATATACTGCTTTTAATGAAGGAAGGGAAGTGAGGGAAATAGAAGGGTTTAAAAATCTCTAATAATTCTTTATGTTGACAGAATTAAGTAGCAATTGGCATTCAGTTTTCTTTCTCCCCCTTTCCAACTGTAGTTCTCCTCATTACTCGAAAAAAAAAAAAGGAAAAGAAAGAAAAAGCAAAACCCAAAATGAGCCAAGTACATTATACACCCATGTTCATGCTTACAGGACCTAAAAACACTGTCTAAGGATAAACCAGACCAGCAGCAGTTGGAGAAGAAAAGGGTGCAAGGTGGTGAGCTCATTAAACTTTTTCTTTCCCAAGTGGGTTCAAAATATTCCTTTTCACTTGTTAATACATACCAGAGAGGATACCTATCAGATGGGTTTCATCTCTAGTTTCTACTTACTAGGGATAGGATTTCTAGCAATATAGTCACAAAAACAAAATTTAATTAAAGCAAAAGCAAATTAAAGTTCCAGTGGAATTCATTATAATGGGGTTCTTACCTGTATTTTTATTTTATCAAGAATAGAAATCAGCCTGGTAGAGGTTTCCTTCACTTCCTTCTTGGAGGCCACCTGACAATTTAATGTATATATTTGAATCACACAAGAGGATACCTTGCAAAGCCAGTAATATCTTTGTGTATCAGCATTTCATGACAGACATGGCATGTTTATAACTAATTTTGTAAGAAATATATTCATAAAAGAAAGAAATAGTGGTGTATTTTTTTCCATTATAATACTGTATCCCACACTTCAAACTAGGAAAATGCTTTTAAAGAGTCTAACCGTTGTATCTGTCATAAAGACCAGATTTCAGCTTGCATGAGACATTTACATGGATTTGTTTTCCAGAGCAAAGATGATGGGTGAAATAATCATGCTCTTTGGACAGAAAACAAGAACTTTTTTAAATCAGTTAAATCTATCTTAATAAATATAGCCCTTAGTATATGTCACATTTTTCTATGCAGCTAAATATATATTAACTCATTCAACTCTTATTAAAACCATATGAGATGATACTCCTTTTACCTGCCTTTTATGGATGAGGAGACTGAAGCACAGAGAGATTGAATAAGTCACCTGAGGTCACACGGCTACCAGATAGTAGAGGCGGGAATCAAATGCCAGCAATCCAAGTCCAGAATGCATGCTTTAAGTCACTACTCCCACTGGAGGCTGGTGAAGAGGCAGGATAGCGAGAGAGGGTACTGGAATGTCTATGCTAGCTGATTCATGTTTTCCTAATGCAAACTGTACCTAAGAAAGTATGAGGGACTAATGTCTATGCCACAGACTAGTATTACAGTAGTGTGTAGAGCTATGCATCTCAAAGTCAGCATACACAAGAATCTTCTGAAGAACTTGTTAAAACAGAGTCCTTGGACTCGTTGCCAGATATTCTGTTTCAATAGACTGAGCATAAAGGCCTGTATTTCTAATGAGTTCCCAGAAGGTGCTAATGCTAGCCCAGGGATCACATTTTGAGCAGCACTGGCGTAAGGGACACCACGACCCAGAGAAGCAGAGACAAATCACATCCTCAATGGGATGAGATGCAGCTTTGATTAACAAACAAAAAGTTGTTCAGTGAATTAAAAGCCAGAATGTCAACTGCTGACGGGATTGCCTTTGTTATTGCAGTGGAGATTAATTTATACAGGCAATCATTGTAACTTAGCTAGGGCTTCTCAGAAAATGGGGTATGAGGAGATTACAGCTCAGTAACCAGGCAGCCAAGACAGCACCAGTTAAGGGAGGCAGATTTGATATGGGACAATTGAAAAGGATGTTTTGGGACCTTTTAAGGTTTAAAGCAGGCTAAGAATTTGTGTCTTACATTTTCTCAGGAAATGAGAAACTGTCAGTGGTTATGGCTTAAATTTGTCAACTGACGGTTTCAAAGTGCTTAAATGTTAGTCTAGCTGCTCTGTATTTGCTGAATATTAGAGAGTCTTTTCTTTTAATTATATGTCATGTTTTATGGTCAGAGTTCTCTTTTTTCCTTTTTACTCTTCTTCCCTTCTTTTGTTCCAGAAACATTTACAGAACAACTACCATGTGCTAAGCTTTGCAAGTAGATAATAGGAATTATGGAGTTTGTGGACAAACAGGAGGAAACAGACACTAAACATTCAATGAAGAAAGTACTCCATGAATTAATTGCAATAGTGATAAATTCAATGAGGGGGGAATACTTGTTCTGTATACTGGGGTTAGGTGTGGATAGTTGTGGTGGTAAATCTGCGGAAGACTGTACATCATTGCATACAATACTACATCTAGTACCGGGAAATTTCCATACTGGAGAAGGCCCAGTTGCCTTTATTCTATAGTATTTATCACATGATTACATGGAAAAGATAAATTTCTCTTGATTTTTGGTTGTTTCATTCTTGAACAAGAAAACAAAGGAATGTCCCAAATACCTGCAGATACTTATTCTAATTTTTCCCCATGAAATCATGTAAAGGTCTAAACTCCTTGAAGACTACTATTACTTCTCTGTTAACCACAAGACCTACAGGGACAGGGACATGATCTGTTTCAGGTTGTAAAACTACTACAGGTCAATGACCTAGAGCTATACAATTAATTTTCTTAGCACTGAGGGCTTCATGCATGATTAGGTGCTTAAATGCTTTTTTATTTTAGGGATAATGTTTGTGAGATTTTCCTATGAATTTGATTGATGGTCTAAATAATGCTTGATTTTCCAAAGATAATACTAATGGTTGTGTTTAATACAGTGTTAAGAAGATTTTCTTGAAAGCCAGAGCTTCAAAACCTAGTGGGAAATCCATGGATGACATAGATTTTCCTTTTATTATGCCATAGAGCCATATGCTTATGTAGCATTAGTTATTTTTGGCTAAATTTTTCAGTGACTGTAAGGGGTGAGGACTAAATGTAGACTGCCACAAGAAGTTACAATGGATTTATAAAACATATTAACATTAAGCTTTAATAAATGTCACAGAGGTAAGTAAAATCATGTATTAAAAATATATAATTATCCGTATAGACATTTTGAATCTTTCCGCTAAAGGTTTTCTATATAAGTAATAAGAAAGTTGCAACCATTTTTATGATCCCTAGCCCTCTGATGTGATAAAGATGAAATAAAACTAACTTGCTAAAAGTCTTCCAAAGCTATTTTTTCTCCTAGAATTTTATACATTTACCACAAAATTAGAATATGTGTACAGGCATAGCTCAGACATATTGTAAGTTTGGTTCCAGAACACTGCAATAGAGCAAATATTGCAATAAGGTGAGTCACACGAATTTTTTGGTTTCCCAGTGCATATAACAGTTATATTTACACTATAATGGAGTGTATTAAATGTTCAATGGCATTATGTCTAAAAATGTATATACCTTAATTTAAAAATACTTTATTGTTAAAACTGCTGCAATCACCTGAGGTTTCAACAAGGCATAATCTTTTTGCTGATGGAGGTTCTTATCTCAGTGTTGAAAGCTGCTGACTGATCAGGATGGTGGTTGCTAAAGGCTGGGGTGACTGTGGCAATTTCATAAAATGAGACAATAATAAAGTTTGCGGCATTGATTGACTCTTTCTTCCAGGAAAGATTTCTCTGTAGCATGCAATGTTTTTTGATAGCATTTTTTCCCAGAGTAGAACTTCTTTTAAGATTGGAGTTAATCCTCTCAAGTCCTGTTGCTGCTTTATCAACTAACTTTACGTAATATTCCAGATCTTTTGTTGTCATTTCAACAATGTTCAAAACATCTTTACCAGGAGTAGTTTCAATCTCAGAAAACACTTTCTTCGCTCATTCATAGGAAGCAATTCCTCCTCCATTCAGGTTTTATCATGTGATTCTAATAATCCAGTCACATCTTCAGCCTCCACTTCTATTTCTAGTTTTCTTGATATTTCCACTACATCTGCAGTTACTTCTTCCACTGAAGTCTTGAACCTTTCAAAGTCATCCATGAGAGTTCGAATCAACTTCTTCCTAACTCCTGTTCATGTTGATATTTTGACTTCCTCCCATGAATCATGAATGATCTTAATTGCATCTAGAATAGTGAATATTTTCTAGAAGGTTTTCAATTTACTTTGCCCAGATCCATCAGAGGGATCACTATTTATGGCAGCTTTAGCCTTATAAAGTGTATTTCTTAAATAATAAGACTTGCAAGTCAGAATGACTCCTTTATCAATGGGCTGCAGAATGGTTCTTTTGTTAGCAGGCATAAAAACATTGTAAATTTCTATCAGAGCTCTTGGGTGACTAGGTCCATTCTCAATGAGCAGTAATATTTTGAAAAGAATCTCTTTTCTGAGCAGTAGATCTCAAGGCTGACTGAAAATATTTAGTAAAGCATGTCGTAAACAGATATGCTGTCATCCAGGCTTGCTGTTCCATTTATAGAGCATAGACAGAGTAGATTTAGTGTAATTCTTAAGGGTCCAATGATTTTTGGAATGATAAATGATCATTGGCTTCAACTTAAAGTCACCAGCTGCATTTAGCCCCTAACAAGAAGACCTGTACTTTGAAGCTTTGAAGCTAAGCATTGACTTCTCCTCTCTAGCTATGGAAGTCCTAGATGGCATTTTCTTCTAATAGAAGGATGTTTCATATACATTGAAAAATCTGTTGTTTAGTGTAGCCACCTTCATAAATGATCTTAGCTAGATCTTCTGGATACCTTGTTACAGCTTCTCCTTGCACCTTTATATTATGAAGTGCAAGCATGTGCTACTTCACCTTGCACTTTTATACGATGAAGATGGTTTCCTTTCTTAAGCCTCATAAATCAACCTCTGATAGCTTCACACTTTTCTTCTGTAGCTTCCTTTCTCAGCCTTCATAAAATATAAGAGAATTAGGGCCTTGCTCTGGATTAGGCTTTGGCTTAAGGGAATGTTGTGGCTAGTTTGATCTTCTATCCAGACCTCTAACATTATTAATATTTATTCCATATCAGCAGTAAAGCTGTTTCACTTTGTTATCATTTGTTGTTTACTGGAGTAGCACACTTAATTTCTGTGAGAAACTTTTCCTTTGCATTCACAGCTTGGCTAACTGTTTGGTGCAAGAAGCCTAGCTTTTGGACTATCTTGGGTTTATTTGTGCCTTCTCACTGAGTCTAGTTATTTTTAGCTTTTAATGTCAAGTGAGAGGCTTGTGGCTTTTTCTTCACTTGAACACCTAGAGGTCATTATAGGGCTATTACTTGGCTTAATTTCAATATTATCGTGTGTCAGGGAATAGGGAAGCCTGAGGAGAAGCATAGAGATGAAGAAACAGCCAGCCAGTGGGGCAGTCAGAACCCATACATTTATCAATTAAGTTCACTATCTTCTGTGTGTGTGCTTCAGGACATTCCAGATCAATTATAATAGTAACATTAAGGATTACTATTCACAGATCACCATAGCAGATATAATACTGAAAATTTTAAATATTATGAGAATTACCAAAATATGAGAGAGGGACACAAAGTGAGCCCGTGCCGTTGGACAAATGATGCCCATAGACTCACTGGATGCAGGGTTGTCACAAACCTTGAATTTGTTGAAAACACAATATTTGGAAGGTGCAATAAAAGGAAGTATGCCTCTATCCTGAAGACATATTTTATCTTCAAAGAATGAACCTATTTCTAGATACCACCCACTTTCTAGTCTCAGCCATCCTCATGGTGTTCTGTTCCTTGAGTTGTGTGGCAGTATTGGTAGTCCCCAGTTAACAATCTTGAGTTTTGTGGTTGGTATCCATTCAGAGCATGCATGGACTCTAGAGGTGGGAAAGAAAATATCACCTAAAATGTTCAGCTTGTCACGGGATCACTTTTCACAATCACTTTGGGAATCAGAAACTCATTTGTATATCTTGAGCTTTCTGTGAAATTTGGTAGCATAGTGGTGCTGACTGTGGCAGTATTTTTTTAGAAAGCATGTAGGTCTTCTTCCACATCTAACCTTCTGAGGCTTGTTATTTTTTCACTGGGTTTTTAAATTCTGCCTGCAATTCATATTGCTGACACAAGATGGTAAAAATGTCTTGTTGTAAATCAGAGCCTTCCAAGTGGAAGAGAAAGATAATGTATGTTACATAGGAAAAAAAATACTGATATATAATATGCAGTATACATCCACACACTAAAATAATAATGAAAGGGCACACCTTTCTCTAGGAAAATAAGTAAAAGTACACCTTTAAGCAAGAATTAGATAGATGGAAACACTTTGAAAACATTGGAGGTATTCTATAAATTCTAACCTTGTTTAACTACTAGTTTTAGATTGTATTTTGTGTTACATATTTAAAATTTCAATGAGATTTCTCTGGGACTTCTGAAACAATGTTGAGTGTTGGCATTAGATTAACTATCTGTTAAGCACTAGCAGCTTTGCATAGGGGATATCAAGCTGCTTAAGCCTGTGGAACCTTACAAGGGTCTGTATTCCAGGCCTGCTGTTTTGCAACAAAAAAAGCCTATCTTGTCTGGCCATCCAGAAGGTGTGAAAGCTGATCCATTCAGTGTTCCTCTTTTTCCTTCCTGCACTAAATCTTATTTACTTATTCTACTTCTTAGTACACCCTTCTCTGGGACTGTTTTCTGTTAAATTTGGGAAGCATTATAGCTACTTTATTTAGGTTCGTGCCTAAAATACACATTTGTTCAGCTTTTTCTCCAGGATGAATCCAGCTCAACTAAACTTAGACATTGTGGGTAAACATTTTTCTCTTTTGATAACTCTTTCCTTATACTATCGAAATCCAAAATGAGTTTGTTCCATGCTTGCTGTGCATTTACCTCATCCTTTTGCCTACCTAGAACCTATTAGATTTAGGTCTTGATATTTCCAGCTCTCTGGCGTTTACATTTTCTCACTCTGGATTCTTTGTTGACAACATTTGTTACCACAGCCCTCAGTTCCCTCATTTGTAAAAATGATAACATTTTCTTACAGAGTTGTTATAAGAATTAAATGAAATTAACATAAAAAATTATTCAGCACAACTTTTGGCACACAATATGAATATTTGTGGATTGTTTTTCTATAATAAAAATATATTTTATATCAAAAAGGGCACATCCAGATAACTACTAAAGTCTCCATCTGATGGAGTAATGAAGAATCATATTAGTAGATGTATTCAAATTTTAAGGAACTCTGAAATACATAACATCAAGTAGAATGAGAAAGAATATAACAGCTCTAAGAGCAGTCTATTAATGATTTGAACCACATATATGCATGATGTAACATTCATATTGTCAAACTTACGAATTAAAAGTTTTCCAACACATTTCATTTTGAAGGGAAATTTTCAAATTTTAATAATATAGTGAATAATTAATGCATTTTTCTTATGAAAACTTAAATATTGTAGATAAAGTTAAGTTTC
This sequence comes from Homo sapiens, assembly GCF_000001405.40. Lineage (NCBI taxonomy): Eukaryota > Metazoa > Chordata > Mammalia > Primates > Hominidae > Homo > Homo sapiens. The sequence continues at coordinate 89,825,394 of NC_000007.14, read as the reverse complement.
CTGTTTTATTCCTAGCCAGTTTTCCTCACCTTCTCTAGGATAATAATCTGCTTCATATGCATCTATAATTCTATTGTTTATGTACATATGCAGAATACATAGAAATATGTCATTTTTATTTAAAATGTGTATAAATGGTATTATACATATATTTTGTAACAATTTTTTTTCACCTAACAAAATATCTTGATGAATGTTCTGTGTTAGTACACAGAGATATCTCTTTTTAACTGTTGCTTAGAATGGATATATTACTGAATTATATTTTCTATGGTACCTTAGGGAAAATAAGTGCCCCTGCCCTTGGCCTCACATATCAGAAGTCCAATTAATAAATTTATTAAGAATTTCAGGGCACTTATCATTCTGGATCTGGTACTAAGGGATGGCATTGAGCAATTATATCTCAAGCATCCATTTTATGATTAACCCAATTGGGGCCCCGGGGAAATGTCTTTCCACGGCTCTTGACCTGTGCCAACAAACAAAAGGTAGGTATTCCCTGAGGAAATGACACTGTGGGTGCTGCTGCTGCCATATCAGACATGAACACTGCCTCTGAGTTTGGGGAAGATTTTATCCATAGAATCCTTAAAATAAGAGGAAGGATAAATTAATGAGAATGTCCATTTCTTCTTCTTAGAGATTATATTTGTTTATTTATTATGTATTTTTTATTTTTTTTGAGATGGAGTCTTGCTCTGTCACCAGGCTGGAGTGCAGTGGCGCCATCTGGGCTCACTGCAACCTCCGTCCCCCAGGTTCAAGCGATTCTCCTGCCTCAGCCTCTCGAGTAGCTGGGACTACAGAAGCCCGCCACCACGCCCAGCTAATTTTTTTGTATTTTAGTGGAGACGGGGATTCACCATGTTGGCCATTATGATCTCCATCTCCTGACCTCGTGATCCGCCTGCCTCGGCCTCCCAAAGTGCTGGGATTACAGGTGTGAGCAACCGCGCCCGGCCAGAGAGTATATTTAATAGTTTTTTTCAAAATAAAATATTGCTTTCGATAGCCCTAAGTGCATATTTTTTCTTTTCTGTTCGTCCTCTTCCAATCAAGGTGCAATAAATTAGCACAGTAATCACAATAGTGCTAGATGGTGCCTGGGAAACATTTTATAGTATTAAACAATCTACAATGCTGTTATAAAATCCAGCTGTGTCACAGGTGATGTAGGATGTTGATTATTTACATTGGTCACTAGCTGGATCTTAAACTGTAAGACTCAGAAAAATGTTATTTTTAAAAAATATTTAATAGGATTTAATTATTCAGAAACTAAATGTAAATGTTGGTTTTATTTAAATAATTTTGATTTAAAAATTAAAGTTCTCATTTTATCTTAATTTTAGCATTTAATTGTAAATACTTTAAAAGTAGCTTTTCACATATAGGAATTATTTTTTACATTTATTTTAATTAGTGAGTTTTGGATGAGTCTATAAATATTGACTATAAATATCTGGAAAGAAAATATATTAAACTTTTCTACCCTAGGAATATAATTTCATTTCATTTTTAATTTTTTCATTAAAAATAAGTAGGGCCAAGCTAATAAAAAATAGAGTGCAGAAAGAAAGCACAACTGAAAAGAAAAAAGGAGAAAAATTTTCAAAGAGGCAGTGTGATTAATATGTTAAAACGATGAAACAATAGGGCCAGGCACAGTGGCTCATTCCTGTAGTCTTAGCACTTTGAGAGGCTTAGGCAGGTGGATCACGAGGTCAGGAGTTCAAGACCAGCCTGGCCAAGATGGTGAAACCTCATCTGTACTAAAACTACCAAAAAAAAAAAAAAAAAAAAAGAATTAGCCAGGTGTGGTGGCAGGCGCCTGTAATCCCAGCCACTCTGGAGGCTGAGGCAGGGAGAATCTCTTGAACCCGAGCAGCAGAGGTTGCAGTGAGCTAAGATTGTGCCACTGCACTCCAGCCTGGGCAACAGAGTGAGACTCCGTCTCAAAAAAAAAAAAAAAACAAAACAAAACAAAACAAAAAAAAACCTAGAACAATAAAGAAATAAAGTGAAAATTTTATGCTGGTAAAAGCCTGAACCATGTAAAATTTGCTAAAGGACAGTACAGATTTGTTATTCATTGAAAGTCAGTTACTGATCCAAACAATAAAAGTGAACCAAAAATTAACCTTACCAAATGCAAACCTGTAACTTAAGCATATTAGATAAGAACTGTTTGATTTATATCTATTTTACTAAATGAAGAATTTAGTTATTGATAAAAATCATGAGAAAAAAGAGTTATTTATGTTGAATTCACAAATCCGAATCAATAAATGCAACTTTGCCCAACCATGAGAAGGCGAATTACCATCATGAAGTTGGCTAGTTGGAGAAGAAAAATGAGTCCATTTTCTCTGATTATTGGAAGATGATACTAAAAAATGGCTGTCACATCTTTCATACAGCCTAAGAATATTTATAGCAAAATAAAAGTCTCGAACAAATTAATATTTACAACTTTCCATTAGGTGAATATCACAGGGAATTTATGTTTTATTTTATATAACATGATTTGCAAATGGCGAAGTAAGCTAGAAGATGGCTTTTTGTTGTCAGCTAAAAGACAAAGTGTTTTGTAATTTGCGTTATATGTTTCATACTTTATTTTCAAGATAAGCTTTGGTCATTGAAGTATAGGTAACTGGAAACAATTACTTTCTCTATTAAAAAACATAAAGTATCACCTGCACACAGCAAGGCACATCTGTATTTACAGAATTTAAAAAGTTTTTAATGCTTTTTTTGTCTTAAGGTTACAGAAATCTTTGGGAACATAATATCTCTCCAATTTTATTTCTCTTAAACTCAAATGAATTTAAATTTAATATTCATTATTTAGAATATGATCTCATTAAAAATTCCACCAATTTTTATATTTATGCTTCCATCTGTGTATGTGTGTATATATATATTATCTATAATATATATTATATATTATATAAAATTTATATATTATATATAAAATGTATATATTATATAAAATAAATTAAATTATAGATATAGATATATATACTATATATTATAGATAATATATATACACACATACAGAGAGAGAGAGATCTGGAGTACAGTTATTTCTATGTAGTGAAAAAAAAGAGTAAATAATTGATTATATTCAACAAAGACCCAAGAACACTGATAACATTTGTGTGAAGTTTTTAAAAGATTAATATGTGTCCAATATTTAGCTAAGAATAAGGATTCTTTTTGTAGCATTCATAGGTGGAAAATGTCTGGATGTAGCTGAAATGTTTTCAAAATATGATGCTAGAATGGCTAATCATGTAAGACGGATAAAAATACAAACATAATAAAACAAATGGTGCCTAGATGGAGAAATAAAAATAGATGGGTAATTTTGGGAGAAATCAAGTGAGAGAAGAAATTAAAAATATAATTTTATAAAGTGCATATTCAGCAAATGAGAATGCACAAAATAAGAATTCTAAACAGCAAACTTTTATTATGCATATGATTTAACCACCAAGACCAGAAATAAAGAAATCCAAAATTAATGACTATTTCATTGACTATACATCTGTTGTAGAAAGTGTAAATTTCAACCTGAGGAAAAACAAGAAAACAATTTTGAACATTGAGCATTAGCTTAAAACATGATTACAAGTAAACTTGTAATAATGATGCTAACATGACTGGTATTTAGGCCAGAACATATATTACATACTTGCAAACATTTCATGACCTATTTGGCAGCGCATTATTAATTTATCCCCATGGGTTATGGCCTCACCTATGCCAGGAGTGATGCTCTTCCTTGGAGCAAGTCAAAGATCACATCTGATCTGTGTGCCCAAAGATTGAACCTTTTGATGAATCACATATCAGATTTGACATGAAATCGCCTGTTGATGCATGATGAGAATGTCAACTGAACACTGTTAAAGCAATTATGTTTAATTTAGATGAGATGTGAATAAAATGCAGTGGAATAGTTATTTGAAACAATAGTAGATCTTCAAATAAATGCAAACCATGGTTTTGGGTGAAAACTAATTTTGAATATGTACTGTTCACAGTCATTTGATTATAAACTCTTGCTCATTATTGAAAATGTTAGCAAAAGTGTACCAAATATGTGTCAATATTTCATCTTTCAAAAATTAGAATTTTTTTAATTTACAGAAAGGTTTAATAGAAAGTTTATGTGACATATGCAAAAATTAACATTTGTATGAAATATAATGAAAATTATGTGACTATAAAGGAAAAGATTTATGAACAAATAAGCCTAAAACTAACTTTTTTCTTCAAAGTACACATAGACTCAAAAAACTAATTTTTATTGAGATTATTTCTGGTTGTTCTAAATCAAGGTATAATCTCAAAGGGAGGTTTAACCAAATTGTACAGCATACTGATTTTTAATTTGTTTTTCTTTATAATGCTTCAGCATTGAAAAACTGGAAGAAAGAACTTAAAAACATTTTTATGAGCCTAGATATTGATTTAAGTGTTGTGGAAAATTATGACACTTAAATGGGGTAGTGATTTATACAACAAATGAAAATATTTTATAATACTTTCTACAACAGTTATAATTTATTGTATGTAGTCTATTACAGTGTTTGAATATGTAAAACTGGATGTAAAATGTATTATTCATTTTTAACCTATATATTATCATTTATCAATTCTATGATAATTGCAGCTTATATATTTTCAGCGGTGAACAATTACTCCAAATTACAATGAATAAAAACTAAGTAAACACTACAGTGGCGTCAGAAGGATATCTAATTTGACATTAATATCAACAGAACAAAAATTGTGTGAAAATCTAGATTATAGCATGGTCTAATAATTTTACTGAAGCAAAAGCGAGAAAGATTACTTTTATGGAATAAAAAAGTACATATAATAATTTATAAATTATTATGTCTTTATGCTATTGATTCAAACGTTGCTCACCCATTAAGAGACTATTTAGACCATGGCAATAATAACTAAATTAGCCACTTGGTATTTGACTAACTTTCAGTAAATCAAAAGATGTAGCATTATGCCTGTTTCCAATTTTATGACAATGAAGGTATACTTATCAAAATAGGAGAAGAGAACACATTTTTTTAATGTTATAATCTTGTTATACAACCTTTTCTGAGTCATAACATATATCTTTTAGACATAACTAAACTGCCCTGATTTTGGTGTCCATCCCTCCCTCGCCTGCCCTGCCCAGTGGTACACAGGTCCTGGTTTCCTGATATTTTCTGCCAATACTCAGATAATCAATCACATCTTCTGCATGTCTTCCTTGCTAAACATTAGTATCTCTTACTTGTTATATCACATTAATTAGGAAGTACCCTTCTACTCTTAGTTGCCTTTACAACATGAGTACCCTGACTTTCCTCAGTTCTGGGAAGTTCTCTTATTTCTTTTCTTTCTTCATATTCCTCAGTGTTGGAATAGCAAAAGAATGTGTAGGCACTTCTGAATCTGTTCCCCATTTCTCTTTCATTTTCATATATATATTTTCCTCTATTCTCTGGTGTATGACATCCATGGTGTTGATTTTTTTTTTCGCAAATTACAAGTTGGTGATACCTGCATGTATGTTTATCTTTTACTTGAGATTCATGCTGAGGGGAAGGTGAGAGATGAGTTGAGGCAGTTTTGCTCCAACCTCTCCTCATGGGATTCAGAGGAGAGAGAAGCCCAGCCAGAGCTGGTATTGTATGGCTGGCCTTATAAGAAGAAGGGTGTTCTCATTCTTCTTGGGCATCACCAGCCACCAATGTGTGGTCCTGACTCTGAACCAAGTCCACACTCAATGTTCCTACCTGCAGGAGGACAACGCTATTGGGAGAGATGGAGCTGGGGGATAGAACACAGGATGTTTTCTATCTGACTGTTCCTCCTGCACTGTCCCAATTATTCACTTATCACTTGGTTTTAGATCCTCCAATCCATTTCTCATATCTAAGGCACTTTGGTTTCCTTATTCAAGTACAATCCTGTGCATGTTTTAGAAATTATTGAGAGTAATTTCCCTAGTCGTCCTCTAGAAATTCCCCTTCTTTTTTCTACTATCTATCTTGTATCTAATATCCACCCATCCACTCTAACTAGCTTTTTCTTTTCTTAGTTATTTTCTAGTTTTTCTAAGGATCTATGATGTAGGAGAAGGCAGCTGTGTGTGCTGGGGGCACTATCTAGAATCAAATACATTTAATTTTTGTATAATGCTTCCCTGCTTCCAAAGCACTTTAAGCTCCATTAGAGCATTTGCACCTCACAAGATATTTTAAGCATTACAAGCTCTTGCTCTTCCTCTTTTCTTCCCTTTCTTGAAATAATTTAGTCCAAAAGCCACTTGGCAGGACTGAGGAAGATAGACATTGATTCTGGAGTATGGAGGTGATTTTGGTGGCCCAGAATGAAATGTAGAAGACCACGTATGGTGCAGATGCATCCACACATGCGAATGGCCTATTGTTGGGTGTTATAACCCAAGCAGGGATGATAAGGTGGGAATTTATATGGGAAGATAACCAAAAGAGGAGTGTCAGACATGAGAGGGGTGACATGGACTTCTGCTAGAAGGGGCACCTTACAATGGAGACTAAGCATTGTGAGGAGAATATCTGTGTCGGGGAAGGGAGTGATTGTAGTTGTGGTGATGGGAAATTGGTTATGTGCAGGGGTTGGACCATATTAGTAATGATTGAGGAGCCAGGTTTCTAACCGTCAAAGAATATTCAAATATGGAAAAATAAAAAACTAGAATGAACTGTGTGGTGTTGGATTGGAATTGAATGTATTGTGTAACCTTATGGATTCTATATAGATATCTCTGTGTATGTGTATGTGTGTGTGTATAAATTGTATTCCTTTACTTTGTCCACTGAGAGGACCTGGGAGAAGTGACACCCTCTACCAACAAGTACCCCTAGTGCGAGATACTGGATTGTAAACATTATTCTGCACTAAAATGAAACTAATGTTTCTTGGAAAAATGGTTGATTCCTGGACTGTTGGAGAAAATGTTCAAAATAAGCCTGGAACATCTTATGCCAGAAAGCAAGAAAGTGCACAGAAAATGATTGGGTCATATCAAATGATCTCTTTTGAGCTCAAGCATCAAAATAAGTAGTAGTTGCAGTTGACTATAGCCCATTAATAGACTATAAATCCATGAATCTATACTGATATAAATAAAAGATTATATTGAAAGATTGATTAGAAATGGAATAGTTTCATAATAATGTCCCCTGAAATATTTATTAACTCCAAAGTAAAAAAGATTAACTTTTTATTAGAGAAGGCTGAAAGATACCACCTGATAAAATAATCAGTTACCAATACCACTAACGAGACAAATCAAAGTGTGTACAAACTTATAGGATGCAATGAGAACACAGCATCACTTTTGTGATATTCCTGCCAAAGATTGGTAACGTGAATCTAATTGTGAGAATATGACAGGCGAAGCCAAATTGAGGAACATTTGACAAAATAATTGGACTGCAGTGTGCAAAAGTGTCAAGATATGAAAGTCAGAAAAAGACTGAGATCTCCTCCAAATTAAAAGAGAATGAAAACAAATGCACATATAATTCTGAACTGGATTCTTTATAAAAGACTTTACTGGGACAAGTGCTGATCCTTGAATGAGGTCTGAGGATTAGATGGTGGAAGCATATCTTTGCTAATTGTCTGATATTAATGGTTGTTTCATAGTTAAGTAGGAGAATGTCATTTAAAAAAATACAGTAAAATTGTTTAAAAATTTATTTAAAAATAAATAATATACTTAGTATACTTAATATTCATGTAGCAGATTATTCTCAAATGTCTCAAAAATAACATTTCTTTCTATTTTCTTGCAAGTTTTTCATATTTTGATATTGTTAGAAAATAAAAAATTAATTTCAATGTATTTATATTAAGATATATTTATTGAATATTCCTCTAAGGGCTACCACATATTAAGCTATTCAATCCTTGCAGCAGCCTGGTGAAGTAGGTGCTATTACTATCCCCATTACACAGAATAGAAAACTGAAGCTTGGAGGAGTTCAGTAACTTCCTCATATTTGTATGGCTAGGAAGGGATGGAATTGTTCTGAGCTAAGGCATTCACAGGGCAAAACCTTCCCTTATAACTACTATGCTTCCCAGCATCCTGGCAATTCAAATTTTTACAAATAATCATATCAGTCCTCCAAAAACATTTTCTATAATTTGGATCTGGGGAAATTCTCCTTGTTCTGTAATATTTATCATAGTTTTTCTTCCATTTGTGAATCCCACAATTACCTAAATCAGATGCTCCCAACCCATTTCACCACTGATAAGTAACACATACATTGAGATAGTGACCCCTCAGCCCTGGTTGGGTGACCAGTGAGACTTAGGATGAACAACCATAGCTCCATGGCCAGACTCCTATGGCCCCTGAGAATTAGGGCAGGTATATCTTACTATTTTCTATGAATGCCATGACCTGATGGAGCAGGGATCCTCAACCCTACAGTAAGGGTCTGTGGCCTAGTAGGAACATGGCAGCACAGCAGGAGGTGAGTGGCGGGGGAGTAAGTGAAGCTTCATCTGTATTTATAGCTGCTCCCCATTGCTCGCATTACTGTCTGAGCTCTGCCCCTTGTCAGATCAGCAATGGTATTAGATTCTTATAGGATTGCAAACCCTATCGTGAACTGTGCATGTGAGGGATCTAGGTTGTGTGCTCCTTATGAGAATCTAACGCCTGATGATCTGTCACTGTCTCCCATCACTCCCGGATGAGACAGTCTAGTTACAGGAAGACAAGCTCAGGAGTCTCACTGATTCTACATTATGGTGAGTTGTGTAATTATTGCATTATATATTACAAGGTAATAATAACAGAAATAAAGTGCACAATAAATTTAGTGTGCTTGAATCATCCTAAAACCAACCCCTTCCTGCCCCCATCTGTGGAAAAATTGTCTTCCACAAAACTGGCCCCTGGTGCCAAAAAGGTTGGGGACTGCTGTGATAGAAAGAAGCATGAGGAACACTTTTAGGATAGTATTCCTCTCTTCTTCAGATCTTTGCTATATTAGATAAAGGAAATAAAATCAGCTCTCTGTCAAAATTTAGCTGATTTGTCTGTAGACAAATACTCTTTAGAAAACTGACACCAAGTGGAATAGAAAATTAAAGGTAGAATCTATTTTATTTTCATTAGATGCTCTGCTTTTGTCTCATTGTATGTTTTGATGCTAAGCATATTAAATTATTTTCATTCCTAGAATTGCTGTATGCACACATATATGTACAACACTATACTGTGTCTTTTGTTTAATCAAGTCAAGACACAGTTTTATAGTTGCAGCAGGTTGAATTATGATGCAATTGCTGGTTGACAAGTGGTAATGTGATACTCTTCAGAACTATAAAAAGTACTGTAAAATACTTTTTCATACATAGTACTTTTTGTGGGCTGAAACTGTATTACTGCTTTGCAGGGACGAGATGATTGCCTTTCCAAAGTATAATTTGGTTGATAATCATAATTTCTATTAAATAAGTGGTCAGACAATTCTGCATCCATCATTTAAATTAATTTAAAAAGCTTTCTACAGTTCCAGAATGTTTAATATAGAAACTAATGTTGATGTCTCCTCTGATATGAAAATGAGAAGTCTAATTTTAACTATTGATTCTGTCAGTGTTATAAAGTGACTAAAAGAGATCCAGTGCTGCTGGTTTATAATGAATATATTACTCAGGGCTGCTGCTGAGTGGGAAAGTGATAATTTGAGTAAAGAATCTTCTTTCCTCATGACTTAAATATTAATATTTTCCCTTTTCCTCCCTGAATTTTCCAGCAAGTATTGTATCTAAGAAAGGAGAACCAATTTTAGAAAAGTCATATTAAAAAATACAGAAGACAAATACACTAGCAATTTGATACAAGCAATGAATAAAATATTTTATTGATAAGTTCGTATGATCACTGATTTTCTAACTGTGACTAATAACTAAGACAATAAATAAGGAATCACTTGCTTTAAATTTCTTGCCAAAAATAAATTTGTCCTTCCTCTTCAAGCAAATAAGAGAGGTGGGGATTAAATTCATACAAGTATAGTCAATATATCTGTACAAAGGCAACTGCTAACACCTCAACATAATATATTGTAGAGAAATTAGCAAGTAATACAAATAAATGTGTGATAAGAAAGTTATAGGTTATGTTGTAATTTCTTTTCCAAGTACTTCTCATAAATTATAATAAGAGAAATGTGCCACTTTGGAGTTTGCTTAGGGTTGGCATATTGCTGATTTAAAATTTTCTTTGTATTGTTTAGGTGCTACTACAAATTCATACCTTGATGATCAGTTGTGCTGATTTTGTCTTTCTATTGGTACACACAGGGCCTTCTAATTAACTCTGTTATGATTATCTTGCTATATTTGTCTCAACATTATAAACTATTATATTTTTGAATTCAGAAAGTGGACCAATATCTTTGATATCCTTCTATTTTGTATTACCTAAAAATTTGGCAGATATGCATTCTTTGTCTTTACTGTTTAATAATTCTAGTGGTACAGGGTCATAGGTGGAACCCTGACCATGGCACCAGTTCAGCTGTAATGGTTTCATTCAGCTGGAAGCCACCGTCCACTTACACAAATGAAGCTGCCAAGGGATAAAATGTAGGTGAGGCTGGGTTTATGGTGTTGGCACTCTAGATGCTTTGTGAGAAATGTCTGTTTCTATATCCACAACTTTGAAGACTCCCAAACACCCTCTCCTGCCTAGTATTCTCCTTAACTTTCCTCTCCTGGCTAGTATTCTCCTTAACTTTCCTTTAAAACTCTCAGTGTAAGGATATCCCTGTTACAAATCTCTTTCTCTAGAAAGTGGGGTAAATCAACTATCCCTAACCTTCTAATGACAGTTATTGTCAGTGGTCCTATGGTGCTTTATCTACTTAAAGTGTCTTAAAGTGAGGGTTTTGATTATTTATCTTCATTAAAAACAACTGAGTCAATATGACAATATGACTTCTCTTGTTGAACAATGGAAAAAATACCTAGAGGTTTAATGTTTTATGGTTTTTTCCTCTGTGAAGGCATCTTGTTCAATTAGGAGCACTCGGTTCACTGTGAGTTCTATCATGTGACATTCACTTAAACTTTGGCAATATGTGGTTGATATGGTTTGGCTCTGTGTCCCCACCCAAATCTCATCTTGTAGCTCCCATAATTCCCATGTGTTGTGGGAGGGACCCAGTGGGAGATGACTGAATCATGAGGGTGGGTCTTTCCCATGCTGTTCTCATGATAGAGAATGGGTCTCATGAGATTTGATGGTGTTAAAAATGGGGATTTCTCTGAACAAGCTCTCTTTGCCTGCTGCCATCCATGTAAAATGTGACTTGCTCTTCCTTGCCTTCTGCCTTGATTATGAGGCTTCCCCAGCCACGTGAAACTGTAAGTCCAATTAACCCCCCCTTTTTTTTTGGTAAATTGCCCAGTCTCCAGTATGTGTTTATCAGTCACATGAAAATGGACTAGTACAGTGGTGCTTTAGACAGGACATGGCACAGAAACCTCCACATTTAATCCTCAAAATGCCAGCTTCTTAAAATTGGCCGAGAAGCAATATTGTTGCATGTGACCAAATAGTGTCCAGGCCAGTGGCTGTGAGCTAACAAGTTGGAAGAACTTGGTAAGATATTGCTTAAGTGAACTTGATTCTTGTTCCCAGAGATGATGTAAGTTCCCTGACTCTTATCCCTGGGGTAGGTAAATTTGCTTCCCTGGCCTTTCCTAGCTTAAAATGCCTGAAGATGCTACAGGACTCACAGGTATCTAGTGAAATGGTGTTTCTTTATGCAAGTATTAATTCCATGCAGATTCCAAAGAGTTGAGGTGGTGCCCGAGAATCTCTGTTATTAAACAGTCTCCTTCTTGATGGTGCAGCTCAGGCATGTTTGTGAACTAGTAATTTTGTATTCAATCAGAACATTTTTTTCTCAGATGAGTTATTTTTGCATATCTTAGAGGTTCACTGTGGATTGAAATGCATTCCAATGGCCCCTGCTGTACACTGGGAATAGTTCTCCTGGTCTTCAGAATCAGTCATCTATTTAGTGCTCAAGTTCTATAAATGCAACCCCACCTAGTGTTGCATAACCCTTTAGGAATGAGAGTCACATTAGAGTTATGTTAGTCTTCTGTTTGTACATATTTATCTTTATATCTCTCAGTTTCTTACAGAAATGGTTGAACAGAGAAGGTGCTTGATAATTGGTTAATTGACTTTTATACCATTGATAATAAAGGGGGAGATGAAACATATTTAGTTTCTGTTCCTTGTGCTTTATTATTATTTTTCACATTATTGTTATTAATATAATTATTCTCATACTGTTTGTAAATGTTTTATATATTGGGCTTTTGCATAGTGCTGCCTTGGGCTTTGATATTTTCCAAGCAGTTAGAGTTAGTCAGGTGATTGTTATGGGATATATAAGTCAATATCAAACTAATTTTTTCTTTCTGTTTGAGCTAGGATATAAACACAGATCTCCACAGGTGAAACGATAGCTTCTACTAAGTTTCCTAGCCCCTCTTTTCTACTAGTTAAGAAATCTTAAACTAATTTCATTCCTAACCTTACGGAGATATATGTATCTCCATATATTTATATTCAGTGGGAGCCTATTGGAATATTTTCATTTATTGGAGTTTGGAAGGAGCAGTAGAGGACACAGGATATAGCTTTGACTTTTTTCGGTAGCATCATTGCTTATATATTTTATCTTTTCTGTTTAAAAATTATGTATTCTCATACCATAGACTGCCAGCTCATCTTGAAGAACATCAGATTTACTTTTTTAAGTGCTTAACTGGTGGACATAATAAAATATTGTTTTGTATCTCTAGGCAATAAAATATTTATTGTGGATGTAGCATACAGTGTTTTTTTTTTTTAAAGTCTTTTTGTATCTTTGATTTAAAGAAACCTGTTTCATATAACAAAATGTTAACTCATTTATAAGTAAAATGTTATATTAGAAAATGTACTATTTGGTTTATTCCACAAACAAACAGAATGCATTCTCAAATTAACATCTAAGCTAGTTCAATAGAAGATAATCAGCAAATAGAGGTAACAAATGCAGGAGATGGCTTCTACAGCTGAGAAATTGATAAAAGAAATTATAAAGCGACATTGCTTCTATCAGGAAAATCCAGTTAACATTTATGTTGTATCATCCCCATGGTCAAGTAGTATCATGTTATAAACTGTTTCTGGGCTAACCAAAAAAAATTTCATAACACTTTGAAGAGTGATACATAATTGCCCCAAAATTGTAGCAAAAGAAGTTCTGGGCCAGGATGGCATTTAATGCTAATTCTGAGTTAGCTTCATGAGGTTAATGAAGAGCTTCCTTGAAGTGATGGTTTTTTGTTTTCTTTCTCCTCTCTAGAGGGGCACATAAAACCATTACTAGGTGCAGCAATTCATCATACTTTTTAAGTGCTAAGAAATAATGTCTTACCATACCCACCTTTCATGTAAGTCTGTGATAAGGCTCCTTTAAATAGTCTCTGAAAATATTACTTGAATATAACATTTGGGTATTTCTTTTCTTATATTTTGTATTTCTAAAATTTTAGATTCAGGGTGCATCTGTGCAGGTTTGTTACAAGGGTAAATTGTATAATGTCGGGGTTTGGGTTTCTATTGAACGCGTCACCCCAACAGTGAACATAGTACCCAATACGTAGGTCTTCAACACTTTCTCTTCTCCCTCCCTCCCTTCTTTTGGAGTCCTCAGTGTCTATTGTTTCCATCTTTATTTCCATGCATACCTATTGTTTAGCTCCCAGTTATAAGCGAGAAAATGCAGTATTTGATTTTCTGTTTCTGTGTTAATATATTTGGGATGACGTCCCCCAGCTGCACCTACGTTGCTGCTGCAAAGAACATAATTTCATTCTTTTCTATGGCTGTGGAGTATTCCATGGTGTATATGTACCCCATTTTCTTTATCCAGTCCTCCACTGATGGGCACTTAAGTTGATTCCATAACTTTGCTGTTGTGAATAGTGCTGCAATAAACATGTGAGTGCAGGTATCTTTTTGATAGAACAATTTCTTTTCCTCTGGGTAGATACCCAGTAGGGGGATTTTTGGGTTGAATGATAGTTCTATTTTTGGTTTTTTGAGAAGTCTTTTTACTGTTTTCAGTAGGGGTTAAACTAATTTACATTTCCACCAACAGTGTACAAGTGTTACTTTCCTTGACATCCTCACCAACATGTATTGCTTTTTGACTTTTAGTAATAGCCGTTCTGCTGGTGTAATATGGTATCTCATTGTGGTTTTGATTGGCATTTCTTTGATAATTAGTGATGTTGAGCATTTTTTCATATGTTTGTTGGCTGCTCATATGTCTTCTTTTGAGAAGTGTCTGTTCATGTCCTTTGCCTACTTTTGAATGGGGTTATTTGTTTTTCATTCTTGTTGATTTATTTAAGCTCCTTATAGATCCTGGATATTAATCTACAGAAGATGCATAATTTACAAATATATTCTCCTATTCTGTAGGTTGTCTGTTTACTCTGTTGATTGTTTCTTTTGCTGTACAAATGCTCTTCAATTAAATCTCAATCATCAATTTTTGTTTTTGTTGCATTTGCTTTTGAGGACTTAGTCATAAATTATTTGAGTAGGCCAATGTCCAGAAGAGCTTTTTCTAGTTTTTGTGTCTAAGATGTGTATAGTTTGAGGTATTACATTTAGGTTTTTAATCCATCTTACATTAATTTTTGTAGATGATGATAAGTAGGTGTCCAGTTTCATTCTTCTGCATTTGGCTTGCAAGTTTTCCCAGCACTGTTTATTGAACAGGGTTTCCTTTCCTTATTATTTATTTTTGTTAACTTTGTCAAAGATCACTTGGTAGTACGTATGTGGCTTTATTTCTGGATTATCTATTCTTTTTAATATATCCATGTGTCTATTTTTGTACCAGTATCATGCTGTTTTGGTTACTATTTCTTATTCACATTAATAACATATACTGAGGCATGAAAACAAATTTACTGAAATTCCATTGTACTATTTTTGCAACCTTTTTTGTAAGTATAAAATTATCTCAAAATAGTTAATAAATTCTACAATGTAGAGAAAGCAAGAGAGATAGTCTTAAAATACAATTGAGTTGCATTGACTACCTCAAAAAATACCCCTTTGGATTTGAGCAGCTTGCTTATCTGTACTATTTATGGTAAACTATATTGGATATGTCCTAAATAAACTTTTGGAGAGTATACAAAAAGCAGAAAATTCAAAACTGGTATGTTTGTATTTGATGTTTTTTGTTTCTTTGACACTTGTTAGAGACACTAAAATACCCTTGTACCACATTAACTCAAAAATGACAAAATTGACTCTAATCATCTTTGCTTCTGTGAATTTGATGGTAATAAGCAAATGCTGTAGTTATTTACACTGCATTGACTTCTAAATTAGAACAGAAGAGATAAAAATACTATTATCCAAGTGGAAAAAATGACCTAGTAGCTAGCATAATGTAATTTTCTATTACAAATTATAAATTTTGCATCACCATAAAACCCATTTCAAAGGTGCCATTATCTTGGAATCACCTGCCCTGTGCCATCAGAGATGATTAGAATAGAACCAGCTTAACTACGCTTTTCCCACACAATGAGTTTATAAACAATAGAATGTAGGTCTTTCCATTGCTCCTGCTGCAGGATGTTCTGGCATTTGGCAGTAAAGCCTGTGTGCTGAGTGGGGTGGTAACTTGATGTACTGCATCCACCAGATGTGAAGCTCATTGTGCTTGACTTTTCAGCCAGAACTGGAAGATTATTTGTAGGAAATTGGATTGTAAATGCAGACAGAATTTTCAATATTCCTGCTGTCCACATTTTTCCACTGTTTAATGGGATGATAAGTAAGGTTGGAATGGAACAGCCCTTACTCATCATCATATAGATAATTTGGAAATAAGAGTGGAAGAAATCATTTATGCCCTCAGTGCATCCCTGAGGAGAGGAAGGAGGGTGCAAATGGATTTGCAAAATGGCTGCCGTTGCCCCATGCTGGTAGTATAATTGCTTTGGTTAGTGCTCTTGCATAATTGTCTGTCTGCTGTAATAATGATATCTAGAAATTATGCCTTATTTTCTCAAATTCTGAGTGTATTTTTAACTGTGTCAGAATCAGAGAGATGTAATAAAAAAGTATGATTGTGACCACAGGTTGCCTTCCAACATTTATTTTCCACTCTGTCAATCCTTTCCTGCCCCAATCCAGCATTAGTCCCCCATCATAACTTAGCCTCTTAATGGAGTAGTGAGCAAATAATTTCAGATTCAATAAAACTACATATTAATGGTGTAGTCTTTATCCACGTTACTTGCATTTAGTTCTTATAAAAATGTAGCACTATTGAGTTCTACTGTCTTTGTCATAGGATGCAAGAAGGTAAGGAATTATAATACTTTTAATACCAAATTTATTTTATTATAGTTTATTACATTTTACAACTTCTAATTTATCCTAATTATTTTTAAAATTTATGGCTCTGTTTTCTTTGTAATTTTCTCCATCTGTTGAATATATTCATCTAGATTGAACACTGTTACTTTTGAGATTCTTTCTGGACATTTATTAGTCTATTTTTTCTTTTTTTTCTTTTTTTTGCTGTTCTCCTTTTTCCTTCTTTCTTTTTCTTTTTTTTTGTGACAAATGAAAGGGTTAGAAACATAACTCAAATACCTTTTCAGTCATGGTATAAACGTAACCCAAATCCATTTTCTGGCATAGCACTAGAGTGCTAGTTTGTTCCACAGTATTCATTTTCCTTTTGTTCCAAGATAATTGAAACCCCTGTTCTTAGGTAGGCACATGCCGGTCTGCAATAAAGACTACATTTCCCAGGCTCCTTTACATCAACATGTGAGCATATAACATAATTCTTGTCAATGGTGTATAAGCAAAAGTATTGTTTAGTATTTTCTAGGACTTCCCTTAATCAATAGCAAGGCCATGGTCTTTTCTCACTCTGTTCTTACCTTTATACTGCTGTTTGGGAAGATTTAGTAAAATGTGCCTCTTGGAACTGTATAAATGAGGTCTGAGAAATGGTCCAGCAGAGAGCTCAAAGAAGCTTGGTTTTCTCAGGATTTCAGGAAGCAAAAGTACCACTGTAGATTGTTTACCTCCAGTAGATTCATGTGGATGGCTGCTGCGTGACTTCTGAGATCTGTATGGTAAAGACAGTGGCCGTGACAAGCCCTGCCCAAGGATAGCCTGAGCTCAGACCCACCTAACTCTGCCCTAACTTGATGGTATTTCTCTACCCACCCTGGTAGCCAAAGACAAAAGACATAAAATCTTGGGAGCTTTATGACCATGCCCATTGCCTGAGGAACCACAATGCTTATGCTGGCCAACTTAGTGCAAGCTTAGATCCCCCTACTACTACTGCATCTGGGGCTATCTTGAAAGTGCACCTCCTGGCTGGAAGCCAACTAACTCAGGCCATTACAGCATAACTCATGACAGAATAACCCTGATTCCAAGAAGGAGAAAACAACAGTTAATTCTACTGCCTGAAACATCCAGGCTAGCCGGAATTTCCCAAGCCTGTCCATGTCACAACTTCACTGCTAGCATAAACATTTGACAAAGCCAGCACAATAAACATAACTACAACCAAGGACTCTTACAGAGTCTAGTTCACTCCCCTGTTTCCTGCACCAGAGCAGGTGCTGGTATCTATGGCTTGGAGACCAGAAGATGGATCACATCATAGGACTCTTTGCAGACATTCCCCAGCACCAGCCTGGAGCCTGCATCTAGCCTGGGTTGCTAGATGCAGAAAAGCAATAACAATCACTGTAGTCCAACACTCAGGAAGCCCCATCCTTAGAGAAAGAAGGAGCGCACATCAAGGGATCACCCCATGGAAAAAAAGAATCTGAATAGCAAGCCTTAAGTTCTAGATCTTTCCACTGAAATAGTCTATCTAAATGAGAAGGAACCAGAAAAGTAATTCTTGTAATATGAAAAAACAAGGTTCTCTAACACCTTGAAATTATCATACTAGCTCCCCAGCAATAGATCCAAACCAAAAAGAAACCTTTGAATTGCCAGATTAAGAATTCAGAAGGTTGTTTATTAAGCTACTCAAGGAGATACCAGTGAAAGGTGAAACCCAACTTAAAGAATTAAAAAAAAAACCACAGAATATGCATAAAAATTTTCCAGAGAAATAGATACCATAAAGAAAAAATAATCAAAACATCTGGAAATGAAAGACACACTTAGAGAAATACAAAATGCACTGGAAAGTTTCAACAATAGACAAGAAAAAGTAGAAAGAACTTCAGAGCTCAAAGAAAAGGCTTTCAAATTAACCCAATCAGACATATACTAAGAAAAAAATATCAGAAAAAAATTAAAATGCCTCCGAGAAATTTAAGTTTATGTTATATGGCCAAATCTAAGACTAACTTATTTTTCTGAGGAAAAAGAGAAATCTAAAAGTTTCAAAAACATATTTGAGGAAATAATGGAAGAATGCTTCCCTGGCCTTGCTAGAGATCTAGACATCCAAATACAAGAAGCCCAAAGAATACCTGGGAAATTCATTATAAAAAGATCACCACCTAGGTACATACATAGTCATCTGGTTATCTAAAGTCAAGATGAAGGAAAAAATGTTAAGAGCTGTGAGACAAAAGCATCAGGAACCTATAAGTTAAACCTGTCAGATGAACCACAGATTCCTCAGCAGAAATTTTACAAGCCAGAAGGGAGTGGGGTCCTCCTGAAACAAAATAAATGTCAGCCAAGAATTTTTTATTCACCAAAACTAAGCTTCATAAATGAAGGAGAGATAGTCTTTTTCAGACAAATAAATGCTGAGAGAATTCACCACTACCAATGCGGCACTACAAGAAATGCTAAAAGGAATTCTAATTCTTGAAGCAAAACCTTGAAATATATATCAAAATGAACCTCCTTAAAGCATAAATCTCACAGGGCCTATGAAACAATATCACAATGAAAAGAAAAGTTATTTAGGCAACAATTAACATGATGAATAGAACAGTACCTCACATCTCAATACTAACATTGAATGTAAATGGCCTAAATTCTCCACTTAAAGAACACAGGATAGCAGAATGGATAAAAATTCATCAACCAAGTATCTGCTGCCTTTAGGAGACTCACACATAAGGACTCATATAAACTTAAGGTAAAGGAGTGGAAAAAGTTATTCCATGCAAATGGAAACTGAAAGCTAGCAGGACTAGCTATTCTTATATTAAACGAAACAGACGTTAATGCAACAACAGTAAAAAAAAGACAAAGACAGACATTCTATAATGATAAAAGGATAAGTCCAACAGGAAAATATCACAATCCTAAATGTATATGCACGTAACAATGGACCTCCCAAATTTATAAGACAGTTACTACTAGACCTAAAAAATAAGATAGATGGCAACACAGTAATAGTGGGGGACTTCAATACTCTACTGACAGCACTAGGCAGGTCATCAAGATGGAAAGTCAACAAAGAAACAATGGACTTAATCTATCACCTAGAACAAATGGACTTAACAGATATTTACAGAACATTCGACCTAACGGCTGGAGAATATACATCCTTTTCATCAGCACATAGAATATTCTTCAAGATAAACCATATGATAGGTCACAAAACCAGTCACAATACATTTAAGAAAATTGAAATTATATAAAGTATCCTCTCAGACCACAGTGGAATAAAACTGGAAATTAACTCCAAAATGAACCCTCAAAACTATACATATACATAGAAATTAAATAATCTTCTCTTGAATGATCTTTGTCTTAACAATAAAATTAAGATGGAAATTAAAAAATTATTTGAACTGAGCAATAATAGTGACACATCTTATCAAAACCTCTGGGATACAACAAAAGTGGTGCTAGAGGAAAGTTCATTGCATCAATGAGGGATGTGTCTACATCAAGAAGTCTGAAAGACCACAAATAGACAATCTAAGGTCACACCTCAAGGAACTAGAGAAAAAAGAACAAGCCAAACTCAAAGCCAGTAGAAGAAAAGAAATAAGAAAAATTTGAGCAGAAATAAATAAAATAGAAACAAAAACAATACAAAAGATAAATGAAACAAGAAGCTGCTTCTTTGAAAAGATAAAAAATTTGATAGACCATTAGCAAGATTAACCAAGAAAAGAAGAGAAAAGGTACAAATAAGCTTAATTAGAAATAAAGTGGGAGATATTACAACCAATGCCACAGAAATACAAAAGATCATTCAAGGCTACTATGAACACCTTTATGTGAACAAACTAGAAAATCTACAGGAGATGGAAAATGCCTGGAAATAACCAACCCTCTTAGATTAAATCAGGAAGAAATAGAAACTCTGAACAGACCAAAATCAAGTAGTGAGACTTAAACAGTAATGAAAAAGTTGCCAACAAAAAAAGTCTAGAACCAGATGGACTCACAGCTGAATTCTATCAGACATTAAAAGAAAAATTGATACCAATATTACTGAAACTATTCCAAAAGATAGAGAGAAAGGGGATCCTTTCTAATTATTTCATGAAGCCAGTATCACCCTAATACCAAAACAAGGAAAGGACATAACAAAAAAAAAAAAAAAAAGAAAAAGAAAACTACAGACCAATCCTTGAGGAACATAGATGGAAAAATCCTGATGCAATACATAGCTAACCGAATCCAACAGAATATTAAGAAGATAATACACCATGATCAAGTGGGTTTCATATTAGGGATGCAGGGATGTTTTAACGTATGTAAGACAATAAAAGAGATACATCACACAAACAGAATTAAGAATTATGTGATCATCTCAATAGACTCAGAAAAAGCATTTGACTAAATCCAGCATCCCTTTATGATTAAAACCCTCAACAAAATTGGCATAAAAGGGACATACCTCAAGGTAATAAAAGCCACCTATGACAAACCCACAGCCAACATTATATGGAACAGGGAAAAGTTGAAAGTATTCCCATTGAAAACTGGAACAAGACAAGGTTGGCCACTTTCACCATTCTATTCAACATAGTATTGAAAGGCCTAGCCAGAGCAAAAAGACAAGAGAGAGAAATAAAGGGCATCTAAATCAGTAAAGAGAAAGTCAAACTGTCATTGTTCACTGATCATATGATTGTATACCTAGGAAACTCTAAAGACTCATCTAAAAAGCTCCTCGATCTGATGAATGAATTCAGTAAAGTTTCAGGATACCAAATGTACACAGTAGCACTGCTGTACACCAACAACCAAGCTGAGAAACAAATCAAGAACTTAATCCCTTTTATAATGACTGCAAAAACCAAACCAAACCAAACCTTAGGAATATACTTAGCCAAGGAGGTGAAAGGTCTCTACATGGAAAACTGCAAAACACTGCTGAAAGAAATTGTTGACAACACAAATGAAAATACATCCCATGCTCACGGATGGACAGAATCAATATTGTGAAAATGATCTTACTGCCAAAAGTCATTTATAAATTCAATGTAATTCCCATCAAAATACCATCATCATTCTTCACAGAACTGGAAAAAACAATCCTAAAATTAATGTGTAACCAAAAAAGAGCCCACATAGCCAAAGCAAGAATAAGCAAAAAGACCAAATCTGGAGGGATCATGTTACCTGATGTCAAACTATACTACGAGGCTATAGTTATCAAAACAACATGACAGTAGTATAAAAATAAGCACGTGGACCAATGGAACAGAATAGAGAACCCAGAAGTAAAGCTAAATACTTACAGCCAACTGATCTTCAACAAAGCAAACAAAAACATAAAGTGGGAAAAGGATGTCCTATTCAATAAATAGTGCTGGGATAAGTGGCAAGCCACATGTAGAAGAATGAAACTGGTTCATAATTTATCACCTTATACAAAAATCAACTCAAGATGGATCAAAGACTTAAATCTGTAACTTGAAACTCTAAAAATTCTAGAAGATAACATGGGAAAAAACCCTTCTACACTTTGGCTTAGGCAAAGAGTTTATGACCAAGAACCCAAAAGCAAATGCAACAAAACCAAAGATAAATAGATAAGACTTAATTAAACTAAAAAGTTTCTGCACAGCAAAAGAAATAATCAGCAGAGTAAACAGACAACCTATCGAGTGGGAGAAAATCCTCACAAACTATGCATCTAACAAAGGACTAATATCCAGAATCTACAAGGAACTCAAACAAATCAGCAAGAAATAAACAAGCAATTCCATCAAAAAGTGGGCCAAGGACATGAATACACAATTCTCAAAAGAAGATATGCAAATGGCCAACAGGTATATGAAAAAATGCTGAACATCACTAATCATCAGAGGAATGCAAATCAAAACCACAATAAAACCTCATCTTACCCTACTTAGAATGGCTATTACTAAAATGTCAAAAAATAACAGATGTTGGAATGAATGTGGTGAAAAGGGAACACTTTTACACAGCTGGTGGGAATGCAAACTAGTACAACCACTATGGAAAACAGTGTGGAGATTCCTTAAAGAACTAAAAGTAGAGCTACAATTTGATCCAGCAATCCCATTACTGGGTATCTATGTATACATATATCAAAACATTATGTTGTACACCATAAATATATACCATTTCTATTTGTCAATTAAAAAGTTGATGTAATTAGGAATCATTTGAGAAAAACATTGTAAGAAAAATGGTACAAATAACAAGCAAAAGAAAATAGAAGTAAACATTTCAAAGAGGATTAATGGCAAAATGATAGGGTTGTAATACAGGTAAAGGAGATCCAGTATATGAGTAAGTGAAAACCAAGAGGAGAAAAATAATGGAATAGACAACTGTTAAAGCAGTAACTTAAAAAACCTCCTAGAAACAAAATAAATGTGCATCTACAAAATTACAATGTACATTGCCCTGTAATATAAATGTACATTTACTTAAAAGCAAATATGAAGATGTATCATTATAAATTATCTAGACTCAAAAAAATAGAAAAAACATGAATTTTACATATTTTCCTTTTTCCACTTTCAAAGTTTTACTTTATGTTACTTTTAAACTAGAAAAATTTTTGTATGACTATAGTAAATCAAGACAAATGAGAAAAAGAGTTGTAATCATAACATGAATCCAGAGGTAGGCTGTGTGCATATTATAAAGATTGCTCACTGATTCTGCTTTCAAGAAGCAAATGCAGAAGAATAAATTATCATTGACAACTATCTTTAAAATGAAAACAAAGTAATCTATTAAGAAAAAATGGCTTTAGAGAACATTTTTATGGAGTATGAACACAGTGTATTGGAGATATAGTCATCAGAGAACATTTGTCAGTAATATTTGCACTGTCAGTAAAATGATAAAAAGCAAAGTATTGTCCTGTAACAGCATTTCTATGAGTAGCTCTCTGATGGTCTTTCTTAATCCAAGGGCAAGCAAGATAATTTTTTTTAAAAAAGGATTAACTAAATATTTACCAGAAGATTAACTCTTATAACCAAACTTTTCTTGTGTTTTTGATGGTAATGAGTTTGCAGATTTTCATTGACAACTACATATACTGTATATATTCCTTATTTTTACTGTACACTTACTTAATTGCCTTTTCCAAATCACCTGGCCTCAGTGTATAAAAAAAAATTTGACTGGCTCCAAGTAGTAGTTCATTTGGACCATGAATTGATTTCTTGTGATCTCCTTTCTCTAAAAAAAAAAAAAAAAAAAAAAAATGGGGTTAGTAAGAATCTACCTCTTTTGATTTAATAGTTTGATGCTCTTTAAAATGTTTTGAATTATTTGGGAAAAAATAGCATATGAACACAATTTGAGATCATCTTTACATTTGCCATCATGTTAATTTGGTAGCCTTGGTATAGTTTTTAAACATGCTAAATCCTAAATGGGACTTGTGCATTTTATTTTGTAAGCATTCTATCAGTCTTTGCTCATACCTTATAATGAAATTTGATTGTGTGGATACACTTCTTCAGTGGATTTTGAAGCATTTTCACTTATGCCTCCTAAAAGACATTTTAAACATTTTATGGTAGTTTATAATAGTCTTCTAGGGGTAGCTAAGTGCTTTACTTATCATTAACGGTAAGGTCATGTGGGAAGTCTACTGATTTGAACTGTAGAAAGTCAGCAGCTTTGGAGTCGATAAGTCAAGGCTCTGTTTAAGGGCTCTAAAGAGACTAAATATTTTATTCACAGAGTAATTCAGTGTATATCTGAGGACTTCTTCCAAGAGTGTGCCTATCAGGAAAATGCTGAATATATAGTATTAGTCAGAAGGGAAGCAATTTTAGCTGCATGTATCTCTGCCAAAGTGAGTTGGCTAGCATTCTGTAAGATATGCTTTAAGCACATAGAATTTTTTGTATAAAGTCAACAGTGTAACTCTTCATCTAAAGCTAAAAGCTAAGCTCTGTGAATTCTCTATCTTTCAGTACCCACTTTCCCCAAATTATAGGGTGAGGAATGCCTAGCTATAACAGTGATCCGACAGACTAGCTGTCTGAAATAATTTTAAGTGCTTTGCAGTAGCTGTGACTTCCAGGGCAAATCATATTCACTTTGAAGTTTAAAATATCTCTTTTTCCCTCCCACATGAAACTTTGGTTTGAACATTTAAATACTATCTCTGTTATTAGCTAAACTACTGAAGAATTTGCCTGCAATATCACAAACTGTCTTACGAAAATAATTAGTCATCTGTCCTCAAGTTTTTGTTGTGCATTTGAAGATAAGTATTCAAAGTCTGTACCTCATAAAGAAGGAAAAATGGCATTAAAAATCTCTCCTAAAATAAGTGTTATCTCCTATAGACCTTCAGGGTGTTTTGTTTGTTTGTTTGTTTGTTTTGACAGAGTTTTGCTCTTGTTGCCCACGCCGGAGTGCAATGATGCCATCTTGGCTCACTGCAACCTCTGCCTCCTAGTTTCAAGTGAGTCTCCTGCCTCAGCCTCCCGAGTAGCTGGAATTACAGACACCCGTCACCACACCCAGCAAGTTTTTTGTTTTTTTAGTAGCTATGGGTTTTACCATGTTGGCCAGGCTGGTCTTGAACGCCTGACCTCAGGTGATCTACCTGCCTCGGCCTCCCAAAGTGCTGGGATTACAGGCGTGAGCCACCGTGCCTGGCCAGTAATCAGGTTTTATCTTTGCATTGAAATCAGAGCTCAATCTCACCTTTGGCTGCACATTGGAATCACCTGGGAAGCTTTAAAATGTCCTGCCATCTGGATCCCAGATTCACAGTTTCAGAATTCATTGTTCTGAGATGTGTCCTGGGCATTGGCTGAGTGCTCATAAGTGGAAGCTAAGATGCAGGTTCTAGGTAACCCCTCTGACCTTCATGATAATATTCTCTCATGCCATACATTACCCCAAGCCTTATGATGTCAAAAGAGATAGAAAACCTAAGACTTGGGGTCATGCGTGGCATGACTGAGTAGAAGGGGTTTAGTACTCATATGCACCTTTTTTTTAATAGTCTTCTTTAACCTACACTACAAAAAGCATACCCTTCCTTATATTCATGACTATATGAGAAACTTGACACCAGTAAAATCTCTGAAGATTCTTTGTACCAACAAAATTAGGTTGTCATTATATAAATCAAGGTAATCTGGGGAGACAATTACCTATGGATCTCTTGTGCTTCTACATGCCTTGCAAGCAGAGGCACTGACTGTCTTTTGTTCCAGACTATCTTTTCCAGGATTTTTGTATAGTGAATAGTCTTGGAAGATATAGTATCTCCCTCTGGAACAAAGGGTAGGTATGGTTACCACCTATTGTAAATGATATAGTTTTACTAAGCTCAGGATTTCTTTCCTATAACACAAGCTACTCTATGTTCAGACATTCAGTTCCTACCTGCATCATTGCTGTAGGACTTGCAGACAAGAGGAAGTAATGAAAAATATGCTGATGTTCATGCTTCTTACAGTGCATGAGTAATAGAGCCCTTTGTCTCTGGGCCAGGAGTCTTATGTCTTTTCCCATCATCCATAAAAGCAGTATCTGGCTTCCTTATTAGCTCCCCAGTAAATAATACCCCAATCTCAGATCCTTCAGTTACTGATAGGTAACAATGGTAAAACATTTTTAAGAAATTAAAGGATTTATTGAGAGACAATATGGCTGACTAGATGCAGCAAGGAGGAAAATCTGCCACAGAGGAATGGGGCATCCAGAAGACTGGTGCATTCTGAGCACATATTCAGAGGGATGGCATTGAGAGTAGATGGAGGGAGGTTAAATAAGCTAGGCTGAATGGAGAGGAAACTGGGAACTCTGCAAAGGGCTGCTGCTACACACCACAACTAGTCCCTGGTCCCCAACAACTCCTGGGGAAGGGATGAGTTGAGCAGGTGAGGAGCAACTGGCCTCTCACCATGGACCTCTGGAATCTTGGTAGCAGGAGACCCCATGACCCTATGGACACTTGAGCTGGCAGGGAGAGCTGCTTAGTGAGGTGGTACTGGCAGAAGTCCAGCTGGTACAGAGCCCAGAGGGTTTGGTATAGGAGCATCTTCAGTGGAGCATGGCCAGGGATCCCCACACTCCAAGGATTGCCTTACTTCCTTATGAGACTTCAGTCACAGGGGAACTGTGGTGCTTGGACAGAGTAGAGCAATCCTGCCCATGAGTTGGGGCTGATCTGACCTGAGAGCCCCCGCCGTATGCTAGCTTCTCCTGGAACCCCAGCCTAGCCATGCCTACTTTCAGTGCAGCCTTGGATGCCCAGCTGGGGTGTCTCTTGAGGGCCCTTATCATAGCTTCTGCAGTAACAGACCACACCTGACCATAAGAGAGCTCCAGCAGGGCGGCACCTGGCTGTGCTCACTAGCCCACCTGCCACCCTCTACCACTGCCTCCCTCATGCCACTTTGCAGGAATGCACTTGCCTACAGTCACCCACCACATTGCTTTGCTGGGGCAGGTGCACATGGGTGGACCTTGCCTCCCCTTTGCCACTGGCATGTGTGTGCACATGCACACCATCGTGCCACTGCTGCTGGCATGAACATATCACCCCTTTGCTGCACCATTGCCAATGCAAGGGTGTGCATAGAAACCAGCAGCCCCATCTCCCTCCCTGTGCTGCAACTGCTGCCAGCATGATTGTGCACAGGGAAGACACCAGACTCATGCCTTCAAGTGCCCTACCTCAGCCTATGTAACCTGCCACACTGCCACTGCTGCTGGCATATGTGAATATGCATAGATCCCACTGCCAGCACCCAATGAAGTGCTTTGGCTGCCACCACCCATCGAGTGTTGTAACCAGCAGTCCAGGAACATGTTGGCCCCTCCAGCACAGCAGGATTCTAACCTCTAAAGGCCAGAGAACAAAGGCAGGGGCCTGATACCTGCCCCTTAGAATGATGGTATGCAGTCCAGGAGTCCTAAGGAGAGCTTTGGCCCCCTAAAAATCTTCCGGAAAAGAAGCAAGTCAGCAGAACCCATCTTATACCACAACCAAACCCCAAGGGCATCAAAGAAGATAAAAGAAAAAAATCCAAAGAATAGTAACTTCAAAGCCCACAAAGATGAGAAAGAGTCAGCACAAGCACTCTGGAAACTCAAATAGCCAGAGTGTTTTCTTACCTCCAAAAACAGGAATATTTCCCCAGCAATGGTTCTTAACCAGGCTGAAATGGCTGAAATGACAGAAATAGAATTCAGACTCTGGATAGGAATGAAGAGCATCAGTGTTCAGCAGAAAGTCAAAACTCAATATGAGGACTCTAAGGAATGCAGTAAAATGATACAGGAGATAAAAGAAGAAATGGCCATTTTAAGAAATAACCAAACTGATCTGATAGAAATGAAAAACTTACTTCAAGAATTTTAGAATACAATCACAAGTATTAACAGCAAAATCAACCAAGCAGAGAAAAGAAACTTAGAACTTGAAGATGGCTCTCCAAAATAACTCAGTCAGACAAAAATAAATAAACAATAAGGAAGAATGAACGAAACCTCTGAGAAATGTGGTCTTATGTAAAGAGACCAAATCTACTACTCATTGGTGTCCCTAAGAGAAGGAGAGGAAGCAAGCAACTTGGAAAACATATTTCAGGATATCATCCATGAAAATTTCCCCAACCTCAATACAGATGCCAATGTAATAATTCAGGAAATGTGGAGAACCCCTGCAAAACAGTACACAAGAAGACCATCCCCAAGACACATAGTTATCAGATTCTCTAAGGTCAGAATGAAGGAAAAAGTGTTAAAGGCAGCTAGAGAGAAGTGCCAAAACACCTACAAAGTGAACCCCATCAGGCTAACAGTGGACATTTGAGCAGAAACTCTAAAAGCCAGAAAAGACTGGAAGCCTATATTCAACATTCTTGAATAAAAGAATTTCCAAACAAGAATTTCATACTCAGCCAAACTAAGTTTTATAGGCGAAGGATAAATAAGATTATTTTCAGACATGCAAATGCCAAGGGAATTCGTTATCACCACACGTACCTTTCAAGAGGTCCTGAAGGGAGTGCTTATGGAAAGAAAAAATCAATGCTCACCACAAAAGAATCACATTTAATTGCAGAGACCAGTGACACAAAAGAATCACATTTAATTGCAGAGACCAGTGACATAATAAAGCAACCACACTAACATGTCTGCATAATAACAAGGTAACAATACAAAGACAGGATCAAATCCACACATATCAATACTAACCTTGAATGTAAATGGACTAAATGCCCCAATTAAAAGGCACAGTTTGGCAAGTTGAATAAAGAAGCAAGACCCAATTGGATACTGTCTTCAAGATACCCATCTCACATGCAGTGATACCCATAGGCTCAAAGTAAAAGCATGAAGAAAAGTCTACCAAGCAAATGGAAAACAGAAAGAAGCATGGGTTACTATTCTAATTTCAGACAAAGCAGACTTAAACCAACTAAGATAAAAAACACAAAGAAGTGAGTTACATAATTGTAGAGGGCTCAACTCAACAAGATTTAATTATGTAAATATATATGCACCAAACACAGGAGCACCTAGATTCGTAAAGCAAATTTTTATAGACCTACAAAGAGACTTAGATAACCATACAATAAGAGTGAGGGACTTTAACACCCCACTGACAATATTAGACAGATCATCAAGGCAGAAAAATAACAAAGATATCCAGGCCTTTAACTCAACACTTGACCAAATGGACTTAACATACATCTACAGAACTCTCCAACCAGAAACAATGGAACGTACATTCTTCTCACCTGCACATGTCCCATACTTTAAAACTGACCACACGATTGGCCATGGAACAATTCTTAAATTCAAAAACAACAGCAACAAATCAAAATCATACCAACCACATTCTCTTGGACCACAGTGCAAAAAAAAATTGAAATCAATACTAAGAAAATCACTCATAACCATACAATTTCATGGAAATTAACCTTCTCTTAAATTACTAGTGGGTAAATAATGAAATTAAAATAGAAATCAATAAATTCTTTGAAACTAATGAAAACAAAGATACAACATAAGAGGGTCTCTGGGACACAGCTAAAGCAGTGTTAAGAGGAAAGTTTATGGCATTAAACACCCACATCAAAATGTTAGAAAGATCTCAGATTAAAAATCTAACATCACAACTAGAGGAACTAGAGAAACAAGAGGCAACCAACCCCAAAGCCAGAAGAAGAGAAGAAATAACCAAAATGAGATCTGAATTGAAGAAGATTGAGATGCAAAAAAAGCAAACAAAAGATCAACAATTCCAGGAGTTTCTTCTTTGAAAGAATTAGTAAGATAGATAGACCACTAGCTAGACTTAAAGAAGAGAGAATATAAAAATAAAAACAATTGAATATGACAAAGGGGACATAACCACTGACCCCAGAGAAATACAAAAACCCTCAGACTACTGCAAGCAGCTCTATGACAGAAGCTGGAAAACCTAGAAGTGGATACATTCCTGGAATGATACGATTTCCCAAGATTGAACCAGGAAGAGACTGAATTCCTGAACAGACCAATAAAAAGTTCTAAGTTTGAATCAGTAATAAAAGCCTGCCAACCCAAAAAAGCCTATGACCAGATAAATCCGCAGCTTAATTCTGTAAGATATGTTAAGAACTGGAACCATTTATATGAAAATTATTCCAAAAAAATTGAGGAGGAGGGATTCCTCTCCAGTTTGTTCTAGGAGGCCAGCATTATCATGATACCAACATCTGGCAGAGACAAAACAAAAAAGGAAAACTTCCGGCCATTGTCTTTGGTAGCCATGCAAAAATCCTAAACAAAATACTAGCAAATTGAATCCAGCAGCACATCAAAAAGCTAATGCACTATGATCAAAGAGCCTTTATCAATGGGATGCAAGGTTGGTTCAACATATGCAAAATGAATAAATGCGATTCATTACATAAAGAGACTTAAAAACAAAAACCATATGATAATCTCAAAAGATGCAGAAAAGGCTTTTGATGAAATTGAATGTTGCTTAATGTTAAAAACCTTCAACAAGCAGGCATTGAATGAACAAACCTCAAAAAAATAAGAGCCATCTATGACAATCCCACAGCCAGCGTCATACTGAATGGGCAATAGCTTGAAACATTTCCTATAAAAACCAGAGCAAGACCTGGATGTTCTTTCTTACCACTCCTATGCAATATAGAACTGTAAATCCTGGCCAGAGCAATTGAACAAGATAAAGAAATAAAAGGTATCTAAATAGGAAGAGAATAAGTCAAACTATCCTTATTTGCAGATCATATGAATCTACACATAGAAAACCCCATAGTCTATGCCCCAAAACTCATTTATCTGATAATCAACTTTGGCAAAGTTTTAGGATACAAAAATCAACATACAAAAATCAGTGGCATTCGTATTCAACAACAACATTCAGGCTGACAACCAAATCACTAACACAATCCCATTCACAATAGCCATAAAAAGAATAAAATACCTAGGAATGCAGCTAACTAGGGAGGTGAAAGATCTCTACAATGAGAATTACAAAACACTGCTCAAAGAAATCAGAGAAGTCACAAATGTAAAAATATTTCATGCTCATGGATAGGAAGAATAATTATTGTTAAATGGCCATCCTATCTAAAGCAATTTACAGATTAAATGCTATTCCTATCAAACTACCAATGACATTCTTTACAGAATTACAAAAAAGAAAGAAATTGAAAATTCATATGGAACCCAAAAAAGCTTGAATTGTCAAGGCAATTCTAAGCAAAAAGAACAAAGCTGAAGGCATTACATCACCCAACTTCAAATCATACTGAGGCTACAGTAACCAAAATGCATGGTACTGTTACAAAAACAGAAATATAGACCAATGAAACAGAATAGAGAGCTCAGAAATAATGCTGCACACCTGCAACTGACATGGGATGGGAGCAGGGAAGTGCTGGATAGAGAAGGATGGGGTCCTTGGTGAGGGCTCTACCCTCAGGCCTGTGCCCACGGACCTAAGTGAGAACAGGCACTCCTGTTTTTACACCCAAATGTTGCATTTTCCAAGACCACTGTGGCCCGCCATGCCACCATCCTGTGCCCATAAAAACTCAAGACCACAGTGGGTACAGACACAAGCAGCTGGAGTTGAGAGGAGCAGAACACACTGACAGACTTCAGCAGACACCAGCAGACCAGGAATGGTGAAATGATGTGGATGCCAAGGGGAATTCAGCTTGGGGATATCAGAGGAGAGTCTGGCTGCTGGGCAATCCAATTCCAGGGGAAGACCACCTTCCTAATCCATCCCCCTCTGACTCCCCATCTATCTCCATTTCTCTGAGAGCTACCTCCACCACTTAATAAAACCTTGCACTCATCCTGCAAGCCCATGTGTGATTCCATTTTTCTGGTACACTAGGGCAAGGACCCGGGATACAAAAAGCCATCTGTCCTTATGACAAGGTGTAGAGTCTGATTGAGCTGATTAACACAAGCTGCCTGTAGCTAGCAAAGCTGAAAGAGCACAATGTAACACATGCCTATTTGGGTTTCAGGCTTTGTAAACACTGACCCCTAGATACTGCCATGGGGTCGAAGCCCAAAAATCCTCCCCACAACCTCTTCACCTGCTTGTCTGCACGGTTCCCCTAGGGGTTTGAGCAGTGGGGCACCGAAGAAGTGAGCCACACCCCTGTTGAACACCCTGCAAAAGGGATAACAGAACTCTCCTGTTTCACAACCATCTGATCCCTGACAAAGTTGACAAAAATAAGCAATGAGGAAAGGACTGCCTGTTTAATAAATATTGCAACTCCCTGTTGCAATAACTGACTAGCCCCATGCAGAATGTTGAATCTGGACCTGTTCTTTACACCATATTCAAAATCATCTGAAGATGGATTAAAGACTTAAATACAAAACCTGAAAGTATAAAAACCCTGGAATATAACCTAGGAAGTACCATCCTGACATAGGACCTGGCAAAGATTTTATGATGAAGAAAACAAAAGCAGTTGCAACCAAATAAAAATTGACAAATGGGACCTAATTAATCTCAATAGCTTCTTTACAGCAAAAGAAACTAACAACAGAGTAAATACACCACTTACAGAATGGGAGAAAATATTTGCAAATTATGCATACGACAAAGTTCTAATATCCAGAATCTATAAGGAACTTTAAGAAATCAAAAAGCAAAAAACAAGTCCATTAAAAAGTGGGCAAAGTTAGACTCCCACACATTAATAATGGGAGACTTTAACACCCCACTGTCAACGTTGGACAGATCAACGAGACAGAAAGTCAACAAGGATACCCAGGAATTGAACTCAGCTCTGCACCAAGCGGACCTAATAGACATCTACAGAACTCTCCACCCCAAATCAACAGAATATACATTCTTTTCAGCACCACACCACACCTATTCCAAAATTGACCACATAGTTGGAAGTAAAGCTCTCCTCAGCAAATGTAAAAGAACAGAAATTATAACAAACTATCTCTCAGACCACAGTGCAATCAAACTAGAACTCAGGATTAAGAATCTCACTCAAAACCGCTCAACTACATGGAAACTGAACAACCTGCTCCTGAATGACTACTGGGTACATAACGAAATGAAGGCAGAAATAAAGATGTTCTTTGAAACCAATGAGAACAAAGACACAACATACCAGAACCTGTGGGACGCATTCAAAGCAGTGTGTAGAGGGAAATTTATAGCACTAAATGTCCACAAGAGAAAGCAGGAAAGATCCAAAATTGACACCCTAACATCACAAATAAAAGAACTAGAAAAGCAAGAGCAAACACATTCAAAAGCTAGCAGAAGGCAAGAAATAACTAAAATCAGAGCAGAACTGAAGGAAATAGAGACACAAAAAACCCTTCCAAAAATTAATCCAGGAGCTGGTTTTTTGAAAGGATCAACAAAATTGATAGACCGCTAGCAAGACTAATAAAGAAAAAAAGAGAGAAGAATCAAATAGATGCAATAAAAAATGATAAAGGGGATATCACCACCGATCCCACAGAAATACAAACTACCATCAGAGAATACTACAAACACCTCTACGCAAATAAACTAGAAAATCTAGAAGAAATGGATAAATCACTCGACACATACACTCTCCCAAGACTAAACCAGGAAGAAGTTGAATCTCTGAATAGACCAATAACAGGAACTGAAATTGTGGCAATAATCAATAGCTTACCAACCAAAAAGAGTCAGGGACCAGATGGATTCAAAGCCGAATTCTACCAGAGGTACAAGGAGGAACTGGTACCATTCCTTCTGAAACTATTCCAATCAATAGAAAAAGAGGGAATCCTCCCTAACTCTTTTTATGAGGCCAGCATCATTCTGATACCAAAGCCAGGGAGAGACACAACAAAAAAAGAGAATTTTAGACCAATATCCTTGAAGAACATTGATGCAAAAATCCTCAATAAAATACTGGCAAAACGAATCCAGCAGCACATCAAAAAGCTTATTCACCATGATCAAGTGGGCTTCATCCCTGGGATGCAAGGCTGGTTCAATATACACAAATCAATAAATGTAATCCAGCATATAAACAGAACCAAAGACAAAAACCACATGATTATCTCAATAGATGCAGAAAAAGCCTTTGACAAAATTCAACAACCGTTCATGCTAAAAACTCTCAATAAATTAGGTATTGATGGGACGTATTTCAAAATAATAAGAGCTATCTATGACAAACCCACAGCCAATATCATACTGAATGGGCAAAAACTGGAAGCATTCCCTCTGAAAACTGGCACAAGACAGGGATGCCCTCTCTCAGCACTCCTATTCAACATAGTGTTGGAAGTTCTGGCCAGGGCAATTAGGCAGGAGAAGGAAATAAAAGGTATTCAATTAGGAAAAGAGGAAGTCAAATTGTCCCTGTTTGCAGACGACATGATTGTATATCTAGAAAACCCCATTGTCTCAGCCCAAAATCTCCTTAAGCTGATAAGCAATTTCAGCAAAGTCTCAGGATACAAAATCAATGTGCAAAAATCACAAGCATTCTTATACACCAACAACAGACAAACAGAGAGCCAAATCATGAGTGAACTCCCATTCACAATTGCTTCAAAGAGAATAAAATACCTAGGAATCCAACTTACAAGGGATGTGAAGGACCTCTTCAAGGAGAACTACAAACCACTGCTCAAGGAAATAAAAGAGGATACAAACAAATGGAAGAACATTCCATGCTCATGGGTAGGAAGAATCAATATCGTGAAAATGGCCATACTGCCCAAGGTAATTTATAGATTCAATGCCATCCCCATCAAGCTACCAATGCCTTTCTTCACAGAATGGGAAAAAACTACTTTAAAGTTCATATGGAACCAAAAAAGAGCCCGCATTGCCAAGTGAATCCTAAGCCAAAAGAACAAAGCTGGAGGCATCACACTACCTGACTTCAAGCTATACTACAAGGCTACAGTAACCAAAACAGCATGGTACTGGTACCAAAACAGAGATATAGATCAATGGAACAGAACAGAGCCCTCAGAAATAATGCCACATATCTACAACTATCTGATCTTTGACAAACCTGAGAAAAAGAAGCAATGGGGAAAGGATTCCCTATTTAATAAATGGTGCTGGGAGAACTGGCTAGCCATATGTAGAAAGCTGAAACTGGATCCCTTCCTCACACCTTATAGAAAAATTAATTCAAGATGGATTAAAGACTTAAATGTTAGACCTCAAACCATAAAAACCCTAGAAGAAAACCTAGGCATTACCATTCAGGACATAGGCACGGGCAAGGACTTCATGTCTAAAACACCAAAAGCAATGGCAACAAAAGCCAAAATTGACAAATGGGATCTAATTAAACTAAAGAGCTTCTGCACAGCAAAAGAAACTACCATCAGAGTGAACAGGCAACCTACAAAATGGGAGAAAATTTTCGCAGCCTACTCATCTGACAAAGGGCTAATATCCAGAATCTACAATGAACTCCAACAAATTTACAAGAAAAAAACAAACAACCCCATCAAAAAGTGGGCGAAGGACATGAACAGACACTTCTGAAAAGAAGACATTTATGCAGCCAAAAAACACATGAAAAAATGCTCATCATCACTGGCCATCAGAGAAATGCAAATCAAAACCACAATGAGATATCATCTCACACCAGTTAGAATGGCAATCATTAAAAAGTCAGGAAACAACAGGTGCTGGAGAGGATGTGGAGAAATGGGAACACTTTTACACTGTTGGTGGGACTGTAAACTAGTTCAACCATTGTGGAAGTCAGTGTGGCGATTCCTCAGGGATCTAGAACTAGAAATACCATTTGACCCAGCCATCCCATTACTGGGTATATACCCAAAGGACTATAAATCATGCTGCTATAAAGACACATGCACACGTATGTTTATTGCAGCATTATTCACAATAGCAAAGACTTGGAACCAACCCAAATGTCCAACAGTGATAGATTGGATTAAGAAAATGTGGCACATATACACCATGGAATACTATGCAGCCATAAAAAATGATGAGTTCATGTCCTTTGTAGGGACATGGATGAAATTGGAAATCGTCATTCTCAGTAAACTATCACAAGAACAAAAAACCAAACACCACATATTCTCACTCATAGGTGGGAATTGAACAATGAGATCACATGGACACAGGAAGGGGAACATCACGCTCTGGGGACTGTGGTGGGGTGGGGGTAGGGGGGAGGGATAGCATTGGGAGATATACCTAATGCTAGATGACGAGTTAGTGGGTGCAGTGCACCAGCATGGCACATGTATACATATGTAACTAACCTGCACAATGTGCACATGTACCCTAAAACTTAAAGTATAATAAAAACAAAAAAAACAAAAAGTAAGTGGGCAAAGTCATATACACCATGGAATACTATGTAGCTATAAAAAAGAATGAGTTCATGTCCTTTGCAAGGACGTGGATGAAGCTGTAAACCATCATTCTCAGTAATCTAATAAAGGAACAGAAAACCAAACACCAGTGTTCTCATTCATAAGTGGGAGTTGCACAATTAGAACATAGGGGCACAGGGAGGAGAACATCACACACTCAGGCCCGGGGGGTGGGACAAGGGGAGGGATAGCATTAGGAGAAATACCTAATGTAGATGATTGGTTGATGGGTGCAGCAAATCACCATGGCACATGTATACCTGTGTAACAAACCTGCACGTTCTGCACATGCATCTTAGAACTTAAAGTAATAAAAAATAAATTTGAAAAAGTGAGCAAAGGACATAAACAGACACTTTTAGAAAGAAGACATATGCATGGTCACCAAGCATATAAAAAATGTTCAACATGACTAATCATTAGAAAAATGCAAATCAACACCACGATGAGATACCAACTTATACCAGTCATAATAACTATCATTAGAAAGTCAACGAATAGCAGATACTGGTGAGGTTGCAGAGAGAAGGGAATGTGTATACACTGCTACTGGGAATGTAAATTAGTGTAGCCATTGTGGAAATCAGTTTGGTGATTTCTTGAAGAACTCCAAGTAGAATTACCATTCGACCCAGTGATCCCATTATTGGGTACATACCCAAAGGAATATAAACCATCTATCATAGAGACACACGCACATGTATGTTCACTGAAGCACTTATCACAGTAGCGAAGTCATGAATTCAACTTAAATCCTTATCAAGACTAGACTGGATAAAGAAAATGTGGTACATATACACCATGGAATACAGCCATAAAAAAGAAGGACATCATGTCCTTTGCAGCAACATGGATAGAGCTGGAGGTCATTTTCCTAAGTGAAGTAACATAGGAACACAAAAACAAATACTGCATGTTCTCACTTATAAGTGGGAGTTAAACATTGAATATATATTACCTTGAAGAAGGAAATCAGACACTGGTGCCTACTTGAGGGTGGAGGGAGGTAGGAGGGTGACAATTAAAATACTGCTTATCAGGTACTATGTTTATTATCTTGGTAGCAAAATAATCTGTACACCAAACTCCTGTGACATGTAATTTACCTATATAACAAACCTGCACATATACCTCTGAACCTA
The DNA here is from genome assembly GCF_000001405.40 of Homo sapiens. Classification (NCBI taxonomy): domain Eukaryota; kingdom Metazoa; phylum Chordata; class Mammalia; order Primates; family Hominidae; genus Homo; species Homo sapiens. The sequence goes on along the minus strand of NC_000007.14, from coordinate 89,787,783 downwards.
AAATAAAAGTTTTAAAAAAAGGAAAGAAAATTTGAGGTAAGGATTCTTTTCTATCACAGTATCCTTAATGTGTTAAGGTTATATAACATGCTGTAACCATGCAAATGCTGTAAGCATTCGAGTAATCTGGAAATATTTTACTCATGAGCACATTTTGAGGCATCTAGAGATAAAAAATTTCATTTGATTAACACATGATGGGGGAACTTTGGGAAAAGGACTGGTAGTATTTACTTAAGGTATTTAAGTGAAGCTCTAAGAATAAAATTCAGGTGAGTACAGTGTTGAAGGTTAGTATGTCAGTGTTCTAAATTGTAATAAATGAGAAGAAAACATAACTGAAAAAATGGGAGGTATATAAAAGGAGAAAAGTACAATAGGCTCATTGATTGCCACATAGACAATAAATGGAAATAAAAGAATATCTAAGCCTACAATTCTAAATATAGATATCTAAATATATAACTTCTAAATAAATATATCTAAAGCTGCCAATTCTAATATTAAAAAGCTAATTTTAAAAAGGAGGAACTAAGTCATTATGAAATGTGTTAAAGGTAGCTACTGCAATAGTATTAACTTTCTAAATAGCAAAAGGAGTACAATTAAACAGCAAAGAAAAAAATACAGAAATTAGAAACAGTAAATATAACAAAGTGTACACATTAAATGTAGCAAAAAAATAAAACTTTGATGCCAGATGTATCAGTTATATTAACACATATACATGGGCTTAGCTCACTCAACAAATCAAATAATTTTTGGAGTGGTACACAAAATACAGTTAAACCAAAATTAAGTGATTCAGGATGGCTGCAAGTTAAGTTATGGGCAACCGTTCAGAGACAAACACAAACAATAGAAAAGTGGAGGTTGTAATACTGATATCAGGCAAAGCAGAAAGCAGGCCAAAGGCAACAATGAAAGGAAGAGGGAAACTTTATAAAGTAAAAGTTAAAATTTACATCAAAGACAGAACAATATGGATCTTTTTGCACCAAACAGGCAGCAAAAACTTCATAATACAGAAAAAAATAGACAACTATAAAGCAATATTATGGGGAGTTTAAAATAACATTCTTAGTGCAATAGACAAAAGCAACACACCAATAATGTAGACATTATAGATGTGCATAAAACTTCCTATAAACATATGAATCATTTACAAAAATTGATCACAACAAATTCTGTAAAACAGAAGTAAAAATAACATTCTCATATCACAATACAATAAATTAGAAATTAATAACAATATTAAGAACAAAAATTCCCTTTAACTTGAAAATTTAAAAACTTTCTATTGAATATAGGTAAAAGGGAAATAAAAAACTAAATTTGCAGAATTTCTAAGCAAAAATAATTGTTAAAACTACATTAGGTTCTATTGGATACAACTTAAAGCAGTAATCAGAGGGAAATTCTCAGTTCTTGCTTCTTTCATCAATAAGAATGAAAAGAATAACATAAGATATATACCTAACTCAAAAACAACTAGAAAACAAAAGAAAAACAAAAAATAAATATAAAAATATAATAAAGTAGAAAGTAGAAAACATCTTATTAGAACTATAAATAAATCAAAATGGTGGCTTTGCTAAAAATTCAACGGTGTAGACAAAGCCCTAATTAGCCTAATCAAAAAGAAAAAGAGGGTAAAGGCAAATACCTAAAAGAAAATATGAGGGGAAATATTAAAGCAGAGGAAATTTAAAACACCTCTTTCAAAATATATTTGAGATTCTATATAAAATTTACAATTTACTAGGAAAACAGAATCTTCAAAATTGACTCCAAATGAGATTGAAGGTTTAAACAGATCAAACTCTATGGAATAAAGTAATAAAGAACTATCCAAAAAAGCTACAGTCTTCATGGTAGAATGATTTACATTCCTCTGGCTACATACCCGGCAATGGGATTACTGGGTCAAATGATATTTCAGTCTTTAGGTCTTTGAGGAATCGCCAAACTGTCTTCTACAATGGTTGAACTAATTTACACTCCCACCAACAGAGTGTGTGTTCCCTTTTCTCAGCATCTGTTATTTTGTTGACTTTTTAATATAGCCATTCTATGGATGTGAGATGGTATTTCATTCCGCTTTTGATTTGCATTTCTCTAATAATCAGTGACATTGAGCTTTCTTTCATATGCTTTTTGGCCCCATATGTGTCTTCTTTTGAAAAGCATCTGTTCATGTTATTTGCCCACTTTTTAATGGGGTTGTTTGTTTTTCTCTTGTAAGTTTAAGTTCCTTACAGATTCTGGATATGAGACCTTTGTTATATGCATAGTTTGCAAATATTTTTTCCCATTCTGTAGGTTGTCTGTTGCTGTGCAGAAGCTCTTAAGTTTAATTAGATCCCACTTGTCAATTTTTGCTTTTGTTGCGATTGCTTTGGCATCTTTGTCATGAAATATTTGCCCATTCATATGTCCAGGATTGCATTAGTTAGATTGACTTCCAGTGTTATTATATTTCGGGGTTTTACTTTTAAGCCTTTAATCCACCTTGAGTTGATTTTTGTATGTAGTATAAGGAAGGGGTCTAGCTTCAATCTTCTGCATATGGTTATCCAGTTATCCCAGTACCATTTATTGAATAAGCAGTCGTTTCCCCATTGTTTGTTTTTGTCTCCTTTGTTGAAGATCAGATGGTCATTGGGGTGAGGCCAAAATTCTGTGCTCTTTATTCTGTTCCATTGATCTATGTGTCTGTTTTTGTATGAGTGTCATTCTGTTTTGGTTACTGTAGCCCTGTAGTATAGTTTGAAGTCAGGTGATGTGATACCTCCAGCTTTGTTCTTTTTGCTTAGGGTTGCCTTGGTTAGTCAAGCTATTTTTGGTTCTATATGAATTTTAAAATAGTTTTTTTTCTAGTTCTTTGAAGAATGTAGTTGGTCATTTGACAGAAGTAGTATTGAATCTATAAATTGCTTTTGGCTATATGACCTTTTTAATGGTATTGATTCTTCCTATCTGTGAGCATAGGATGTTTTTCCATTTGTTTGTGCCATCTCCGATTTCTTTGAGCAGTATTTTGTAATTCTTATTGTAGAGATCTTTCACCTCCCTGGTTAGCTGTATTCCTAGGTATATTATTCTTTTTGTGGCAATTGTGAATAGAATGGCCTACCTGGTTTGGCCCTTGGTTTGTCTGTTGTTACTTTATAAGAATGGTAAGGATTTTTGTACATTTATTTTGTATCCTGAAACTTTGCTGGAGTTGTTTATCGCTGATGGACATTTTGGGCTGAGAGTATGAGGTGTTCTAGATAACACAATGGTATGCTCTCTTCAAGAGTCACATCTCACATGTAATGACCCCCACAGTCTCAAAAGTAATGGGATGAAAGAAAATCTACCAAGCAAATGGAAGAAAGTAAAGAGCATGGTTGCAATCCTAATTTCAAAGACATAGAAGGGCACTACATAATGGTAAAGGGTTCCATTCAACAAGAAGACCTAAATATCTGACATATATACATTCTTAGTTCTTGCCTCTTTTATCAATAAGAATGAAAAGAATAATATAAGATATATACCTAACTCAAAAACAACTAGAAAACAAAAGAAAAATGTACCCAATACATGGACACCCGGATTCATAAAGCAAGTTCTTAGACACTTACAAAGAGATGTAGACTCCCACACAATAATAGTGGGAGAATAAACACTCTACTGACAATATTAAACAGATAATGTAGGCAGAAAAATAGCAAATACATTTAGTATTTGAACTCATCATTAAACCAAATGGCTCTCATAGACTTTTACAGAACTCTCCACTCCAAAAGAACAGAATATACATTCTTCTCATCATCACATGGCACATACTCTAAAATCGACCACATAATTGGACAGAAAATATTGTTTGCCCAATGCAAAAGAAAATAAATTGCATCAAACACACTCTCAGATCATAGCACAAGAAAAATAAAAGTCAAGACTAAGAAAATCCGTCAAAACCATGCAATTACATAGAAATTAAACAACATGCTCCTGAATGATTTTTGGGTAAATAATGAAATTAAGGCAGAAATCAAGAAGTTCTTTGAAACAAATGAGAACAAAGACACAGCATCTCAGAATCTTTGGGATACAGCTTAGGCAGTGTTAAAGGGAAAATTCATAACAATAAATGCCCACATCAAAAAGTAAGAAAGGTCTCTAATTAACAATCAAACAGCACAACTGAAAGAATAGAGAAGCAAGAACAAATCAACCCCAAAGGTAGCAGAAGACAAGAAAAAACCAAAGTCAGAGCTGAACTGAAGGAAATTGAGACACAAAAAACCATTCAAAAGATGAAAAAACCCAGGAGTTTGTTTTTTGAAAGAATTGATAAGATAGGCCACTAGCTAGAATAATAAAAAAGAAGAGAGAGACAATTCAAATAAACACAATTAGAAATTATAAACAGGTTGTTACCACTGTCTCACAAAAATAAGACAAACCATCAGAAACTACTATGAATACCTCTATTAACACAAACTAGAAAACTTAGAAGAGATAGATAAATTCCTGGACACATATACGTTCCCAAGAATGAACCAGGAAGAAATTGATTCCCTGAACAGACTAATAATGAGCTCCAAAATTGAATCTGTAATAAATAGCCTAACAACAAAAAAGCCCAGGAGCAGATGGATTCACAGCCAAATTCTATCAGATGTACAAATAAGTGTTGGTACCATTTCTACTGAAACTGTTCTCAAAAATTCCATCGGAGGGACTCCTTCTCAACTCATTCCACGAGGCCAGCATCATCCTGTGACTAAAATCTGGCAGAGACATGACAACAAAAGAAAACTTCATGCCAATATCCATGATGAACATCTATAAAAAGTCCTCAACAAAATACTTGTAAACTGAATACAGCAGAACAGCAAAAAACTAATATACCATGATCAAGTAGACTTTATCCCAGGGTGCAAGTTTGGTATGTAAATCGAGAAATGTGATTCCTTACATAAACAGAACTGAAGACAAAAACCATGATTATTTCAAAAGATTCAGAAAAGTTTTTTGATAAAATTCAACATCCTTCATGTTAAAAGTTCTTAATAAACCAGATATTGAAGGAACGTACCTCAAAATAACATGAGCTGTCTATGACAAACCTACAGACAACATCATACTGAATGGGCAAAAGCTGGAAGCATTCCCCTTGAAAGGTGACACAAGACAAGCCTTCTTTAACCACTTCTATTCAGCATAGTATTGGAAGTCCTAGCCAGAGCAACCAGGCAAGAGAAAAAAATAAATGGCATCCAAATAGGAAGAGAGTAAGTTAAACTACCCCTGTTTGCAGATGATATGATTATAGACCTAGAAATAGATCCCATTTCTACCTAAATTATTTTAATTAAAAAAGATATAAAACTTCTAAATTACTTGCTATTAGTAAAGTATGACACTTTTCCTGAACTGACAAAAATTGTCTAAAAAATAAACTGAATATCAATACAATAATTTTCAATAAAATATTAACAAACAAAATCCAAAGCACATTAAAAATAGTAAACTGTAACTAATGGTGAGACATTGGATCCTTTTCCTCTTAGATTGGGAACAAGCAAATGTGTCCTCTTCCATCACTCTTATTCAGCATTGTTCTGGAAGTCCTAGTTCATGAAATAAAAGAAAGCAAAGATTAAATGATATACATATTGTAAAGAAAAAATAAAATTGTCTTTATTAGCAGATGACAGATGTAGAAAATATCAATTAGTCTACAAAAAACTCATGATCTTGCTAGTATAATAAGACTATAAGACACCAAGTCATTGCACAAAATTGCTTTTATCAGTAATGAAAAATTTTGTATCAGTAATGAAAAATTGGGTTTAGAAATTTAAAATTATTACAATTTACAATAGCACCAAAGCAAGCAAACAAAAAACAACCATAGATATAAATCTAACAAAATATATGCAGGCTGTTTATGTCAAAACTTGCAAATCATTCATCAAAAAATAATCAGACATTTAAATAAATGAAAAGATATTCTATGTTCATGTATTGGAAGGCTCAATATATTGATTCTTTCCTACCTGATTTCTGGATTTAACACAATACCCAAGAAAAGCTCAGCATGCTATTTTTTAGAAATTAACAAATTGATTCTAAAGTTTATATGGAAAGGTAAAAGATCTAGAATATAAAACCGAAGAAGAAAAACAATGTTGAAAGACTCACACTACTTGATTTCAAGATTTAAACTAAAGCTACAACATTTGAGATGACGTGGTGTACTGGTAAAAGAGTAGACAAATAGGTGAGTGATAGATGATAGAGAGCCCAGAATTAAAACCACATAAATATAGTCAATAGGCATGAAGACAATTCAGTGCTGAAAAGATATTCTTTTTAGGAATTGTGCTAAAAATATTGTGCATCTGTATATTTAGACAGAGACCTTATACAAAAAATAAGCTTAAATGAATCATAGACTTAAATGTATAATGGAAAACTATAACATTTTTAGAAGAAAATATAGAAGAAAATCTGTATGAGCTTTGGTTTGCTGATGAATTTTTAGATAAAACATCAAAAGAACAATTCATAAAATAATGATAAGTTGGACTGAATAAAAGTTTAAAACTTCTGCTCCACAAAAAACACTGTTAAGAGAATTAAAAGAGAAGCCACAGACTTGGAGAAAATATTGGAAATCACATATCTGATAAAGAACTTGTATCAGAGAAACTTTAAAAATTCTTAAAACTCAACTGGAAGAAAGAACAGCCCAATTAAAAAGTGGTCAGAAGACCTGAACAGACATCTCACCCATGAAATGACCAATAATCGTATGAAAACATGCTCAGCATCATTTTTTCATTAGAAAAATGCAAATTAAAACAACCATGAGATATCATTATACACCTATTAGAGTGGCTAAAAGCCAAAGAACAGACGATAGTGATTGCTGGTGAGGATGTGGAACAACTGGACCTCTCATTCTTGCTAGTGAGAATGCAAAATAATACAGCCACATTGGAAGACAACTGAAGCAGTTTCTTATAAAGTTAAACATAGTGAATCAGAATATTTTCTTTACCCCGTCATGGGACTCGCAACAGGAGTGCCTCACTTGCTTAGCTTTCCCCTGTCTACCACTCGCTGGAGGTAACATGAGGGCAAATGAGTGCAGGAAACAGAGCAAGTGCTTTTGACCGCTGGCAGGAACAAACTCCATTTACTCAGCTCACTGTGCTTATCCCCTTGTGGGAGGGAATAAGTAGGTGAATGAGTACAGGCTCTGGCTGACCATTTTTGGGCACCAGCAGCAGTGAACTCTGTGCAGTCCCTGTGGCAGCATCCAGGCGGGGGTGCCTGCTACTCCCAAAGCCCCAGAGGGTGTGTTACATGCTCATTTAGCTCTGCCATTCACGGATGGCTTAAGCATTAACAGCTCAGTGGACCTTTGCCTTTTCATGTGAGGCAGCTTCTTTCTGCCAGCAAGAGTAAAGGGCCAGTGTGACATTTTGTATCTGTATTCATCATTCCTGAGCTCTTGTCCAGCATCCATGAAAAATAAGGTCACACTAATGAATAGAACAACGGTAAATGCAAGGGACTTTATAGCTGATGATAGAGGCTTTCAGTGGGAAGGGGGGATGAAAACGGGATGAAGTTGGTAGGTAAACTTCCCCTGAAGTCCGGCTGTCTCCAGATGGATTCTTCTTTGAAGTTATGCCAACAAGTTGTGCCTCTGAAGTGAAGCTACTTCTCTCTGATGTCCAGCCATAGTCCCGTCTACCAGCTGAGTCTGGGGTTTTTATAGGCATAGGGTGGGGTGGGGCAGGGCAGGGCAGGGCAGGGCCATGAGTGATTTAGGAAAAGGTAACATTCCAGTGGGAAAACAGGGATGTAAGTTCTTACTTTGGGCCGCAGTTTCAGGCTTTTTCAGCTGGAGGGTGGAGTTTTGCCAAGGACCCGCTCTTTTCTGCCTCCTGTCCCTATCAATACTGTTACCATGCAGTTTAGCAATTGTCCACCTATATATTTATTCAACTTACTTAAAAACTTATATCTGTATTCCACATTCCAAAACTGCATGCAAATGCTTACAGCAATTTAATTCATATTAATAATTACCCAAAACTAGAAGCAACCAATATTTCCTTCAATAGGGGAAGGGGAAACAATCTGTGATGCATCCACATAATGGAATATTATTCAGCAATAAAAGTGAATGGCTATCAAACCATGAAAAGACATGGAGAGACTTCAAGTATATATTGCTAAATAAAAATCTGAAAAGATTACATA